>NC_000010.11:83627943-83779458 GCF_000001405.40 Homo sapiens | reverse complement strand
CAAAGACTTGGAAAATACAGTGGTAATAACCCATTTTTTTTCACAAAAAGATGCATCTTGAAACATGACAATGGATTATAAAAACCATTATTAGGTAGTGACTGTAATTTCAGCTACCTGTTTCTAGATGTGGACTATTTTCCAGAACCAATCAGTATAGTTCCTGGAATCTGCTATTCAGTTACTGATCTGGAGGATATTTATCCTTAGCACAATTGTAAGGGAACACCTTTCAGTAAGTGATACTTACTTGTTCTGTAACTCAAAGGTCTGGCAAGGAACTGAAGGCACACTCAAAATAGATAATTAAAGAGAGTTTAGTGATGGGACTCTTTATGAAGGCCTAAACAGACTTAAGGGTTACTATAGTGACATGTTGGAGTACTCTGGGATTAATAATAGCAGAAAGCCATTATCATCTCCAGTCCTGAGGGGCAAATGAAGGGGGGTGAGGAATAATAGAACTCAAAAAGAGCTGTAATTGTATTGAGGGGGCACCCAATGGAAGTTGTGGTTTTCAGTAGTGGAATGCAGCCTCTGCCAAATGAAGCCTTGGAAAGGGAAAGTCAGGCAATAGCAACAAGGCCCCTTTCCTCCCAACCTTCAGTATCTTGCCAGTACTTCCTAGGAGCTAAATACATTTGGAAGCCAGGCAGCATTAGAGCCTGAGAGCTCAGCCTCTAAGGGCATAGATCAGAGTAAAACACATATATATTTTAATTACAGGGCAACAGGAGAAAATCCATCATGCTTGTCCACTATAATGACATTTTGGGAAGGAACTGGGACAGCAGGAATAGCATATATTTTAGATTGCATGGTCACATTCACATATACCAGAAGGTGTGGAAGAAAATCTACAACAATACAAGAACAACCACCAGAGCTAGAGTTATAGTGTCCAGTGATCTGGGACATATCAGAGTACACTGTGCAAAATATAGGATGAGTTACTCCACACACACTGCACCCTCTACCACCAAAAAAAGTGGCACAATGCCTGGTGATCCCATTTACATTTTTGAAAAATTGACTCCATATTTATTTTACTTAGTTTTTAAAAATTTTATTTGTTTATTTTCATAAATTTAGGGGGTACAAGTACAATTTTCTTACATGGATATGTTGTATTGTGATGAAATCAGGGCTTTCAGTATAGCCATCACCCAAATACTGTATGTTGTACTTAATGGGTAGTATTTCATCTCTTACCCCCCTCCCACCCTTCTACTACATTTTGAAGTCTCCAATGTCTATTATTCCACTCCGTATGTCCATGTGTACAGTTGCCACTTATAAGACAGCATCTGTGGCTTTTGGCTATCTGTTTCTGAGTCATGTCACCTAGGGTAATGGCCTCCAGTTCCATTCGTGTTGCTACAAAAGATATGATTTCATTCTTTGTTTATTCTTTCAAATAACCAACTTTTTGTTCTGTTGATCCGTTGTGTTGTTTTTTAGGTCTCAATTTTGTTTAATTTTTCTCTGATCTTTGTTATTAGTCTACTAGCTTCAGTTCTGGTTTGCTTTTTCTAGTTTCTTGAGGTGTGACATTACATTATTAATTTGTGATCTTTCTATTTTTTGATGTAGATATTTAACACTATAATCTTCTCTCTTAGCACTGCTTTTGCTGTATCCCAGAAGTTTTAGTATGTTTTATTCACATTTGTTTCAAAACATTTTTAAATTTCTGTCCTAATTTTGTTGTTGACCCCAAAATTGCTCAGGAGTATATTGTTTAATTTCCAAGTATTTGTATAGTTTCCAGAATACTTCTTGGTAGTAATGTTTAGTTTTATTCCACTGTGGTCTGAGAATGTAGTTGATTTAATTTTGATTTTTAAAAATTTATTGTGCTTGTTTTATAGACTAATGTATTGTCTAACTTGGAGAATGTTTCATTTGCTGATGGGAATAATATATATGCTACAATTGTTGGGTAGAATGTTCTATGAGTATCTGTTAGGTCCATTTGATCTAAAGTCTATTTTAAGTCTAATATTTCTGCATTGCTTCTCTGCCTCAATTATCTGTCTAGTGCTGTGAGTGGACTGTTGAAGTCCTCCACTATCATTGTGTTGCTCTCTATCTCTTTCTTTAGGTCTAGTAATATTTGTTTTATGAATCTGAGTGCTCCAGGGTTGGGTGCATATTTTGTAGCATTATTATATCGTCTGTTAACTATATCCGTTTGTCATTATAAAATGACTTTGTTTTTTTTTGAGACAGAGTCTCGCTCTGTCGCCCAGGCTGGAGGGCAGTGGCGCAATCTCGGCTCACTGCAAGCTCTGCCTCCAGGGTTCACGCCATTCTCCTGCCTCAGCCTCCCCAGTAGCTGGGACTACAGGCACCCACCACCACGCTCGGCTAATTTTTTTGTATTTTTAGTAGAGACGGGGTTTCACCATGTTAGCCAGGATGGTCTCGATCTCCTGACCTCGTGATCCTCCCCCTTGGCCTCCTAAAGTGCTGGGATTACAGGCGTGAGCCACCGCACCCGGCCTGTTTGTTTGTTTTTTGAGACGGAGTTTTGCTCTTGTCACCCAGGTTGGAGTGCAATAGCACAATCTTGGCTCACTGAAACCTCCACCTCCCAGGTTCAAACGATTCTCCTGCCTCAGCCTATTGAGTAGCTGGGATTACAGGTGCCCACCACGACACCCACCTAACTTTTGTATTTTTAGTAGAGATGGTGTTTCACCATGTTTTCCAGGCTGGTCTTGACCTCCTGACCTCAGGTGATCTGCCCGACTTGGCCTCCCAAAGCTGGCCTTTCTTTTTTTTTTTTTTTAAGATCTTTTTTATCTGACGTAAGTATAGCTACTTCTGTTTACTTTTGGTTTCCATTTGTGTGGAATATTTTTTTCCTACTCCTTTACTTTCAGTCTATATATATCTTTACTGATAAGTTGAGTTGATTGCAAGCAACATGTGATATGATCATGTTTTTATTTATTTATTTTTATTTATTTATTTTTTTTGAGACGGAGTCTCCCTCTGTCACCCAGGCTGGAGTGCAGTGGTGCGATCTCAGCTCACTACAAGCTCCGCCTCCCAGGTTTACACCATTCTCCTGCCCCAGCCTCCCAAGTAGCTGGGACTGCTGGTGCCCGCCACTACGCCCAGCTAATTTTTTTTGTATTTTTAGTAGAGACTTGGTTTCACTGTGTTAGCCAGGATGGTCTCGATCTTCTGACCTTGTGACCTGCCCCCCTTGGCCTCCCAAAGTGCTGGGATTACAGGCATGAACCACCACGCCTGGCCAATATGATCATGTTTTTAAATCCATTCCTCCAATCTATATCTTTTAAGTGGAGCATTTAATGAATTTACATTTAAGGATAATATTGATATATGGGATTTTGTTTCTGTCATATTGTTAATTGTCTCCGAGTTGTTTTGTAAATTTTTTTCTTTCCCCTGTTTTTGTGGTTTGGTGGAGATCTTCTGTGTTGCTAATTGATTCTTTTGTATTTCTCCTTCGTGTAATTGGTTTCTAAGACCTGTAAGTTTTGTGATTTTGTATGTTTTTACGAAGGCAAATATTGATCTTTTGTTTCCATGGGTTTTTTTTTTTGTTTTGTTTTGTTTTAGGTGAAGTCTCACTTTGTCAACCAGGTTGGGGTGTGGTGGTGTAATCTGGGCTCACTGCAGCCACTACCTCCCAGGCTCAAGTGATTCTCCCACGTCAGCCTCCCAAAAGCTGGGACCACAGACACATGTCACCACACCTTGCTAATTTTTTTGTGTATTTTTGGTAGAGACAGAATTTCTCTATGTTGCCTAGGCAGGTATTGAACTCCTGAGCTCAGGCAATCCACCCACCTTGGCCTCCCAAAGTGCTGGGATTACAGGCATGAGCCACTGTGCCCCACGTGTTTCCATGTTTATGACTCCTTTGAGCATATCTTGTAGGGCTAGTCTAGTGGTGATGAATTCTCTTAGCATTTGCTTTTCTGGGAATGACTATATTTCTCCTTCATTTATGATGCTTATTCCAGCATGATCTAATATTTGTGACTGGCAGGTTTTTAAAATTTTATCACTGTGAAAATTGCATTCTGTTCTTTTCTGGCTTATAAAATTTCTGCTGAGAAGTCTGCTATTAGTCTCATGGGGTTTATTATATAGGTGATTAGATGCTTTTTTTCTTGTTGATTTTAGAATTTTTTTCACTTTGACTTTGGACAGTCTGATGGCAATATGTTGTGATAAAGTCCACTTTGCAATGTATTTCACTGGTGATCATTGGGTTTTTTGTATCTGGATTTCTAATTATCCTGCTAGGTCAGGGAAGTTTTAGTCAACTATTTCCTTAAATAGGTTGCTAAACCTTTTGCTTTCTCTTTTCCTGTAGGAATATTGATGATTCATAAGTCCACTTACTTTTTATAGTCTCATACTTCTCAAAGACTTTGTTAATTCTTTTTAATTTTTGTTTGATTGGATTAATTCAAAAGATGTCTCCAAGTTCTGAGATTCTCTTTTCTTCTGTAGTCTATCATTGATACTTTCAACCGCATTTTGTAATTCTTTCAATACTTTTTTAAATTTTCAGGAGGTTTTTAAAATTCAGGTATCTATCTCCTTGATATATTTCTCATTCATAGCTTGAATTGATTTCTGATTTATTTGTATTAGTTTTCAAATTTATCTTGAATTTCATTAAGCTTCTTTAAAGTCAATATTTAAAATTCTTTATCTTGCATTTTGAGGTTTTTTTTTGGTTGAGATCCATTGCTAGAAAATTACTGTATTCCTTTGGGGGTTTAATAATACCTTGCTCTTTCATACTTCCTGTGGTGTTAAGCAGATTTATTTGCATCTGGAGAAATGGTCACTTCTTATTTCTTAATTTATTTTAGTTGGGGTGGAACGTCTTTTTTTCTTGTGGATGTGACTGTGATGTATGTTGAGAAGAGTAGTTTCGCTTGCTTCTGGATGTGTTCAATGATAAAGAGTCTGTATGATTTTCTTGATTTAAAAATAGATAGTGTGGTGGCTTTCTTAAATGGCAGGTGAAATACTGGTGCGTTGATTGGATGAGTAGGCTCCCAAATTCCTGAATAGCCATGGTGGTGTGCACAATGGTGGTAGCAGAGGTCACTAGTAGCTTAAAGTGTTCTTGTGTGTGACACTGTGTACTTGGGTCAGCAGATGTTATAATGGGTTGTGTGGTTAGGCCTCCAGGCCAATAGGTGGCACTTGCAGGTAAGACAAGTTGTGGTGGTAGAAGTTGGGTTTGTGCTTGATCTTTGCTGACCAGGAGAAGTACTCATGTGTCCCAAGCAATGGGTTTGAGTCATGGACTGCTCAGTGTTCTAGGTCCCACATGCTGTCTTGAAGGCAGGAGAGAAGCTGGCTGGGTGGAGCTGTACTGGACAAGCCTGCACTCAGGCCCCCTAATGTTGGGCGCAAGAATCAACCTTGATGGGGGTCTGAAGAAAGTTTCTGGGCCCCGGAGAAATGTCCATCTGAGGAGTGGAGCAACCGCTGGTGTGCTGAGGTTTCAGCATGAGAAGGGAGAGTTGGTCTTGACACCACAGCCAGGTGAGCAGTAGTGGGACTTGCTTTCCTCTTATGCTCCAGACCTGAAGGGCTCATGCTCCTGTCCTGACTGTTGACTGTGGGAGTCAGTCAAAACACTTAGTTAAGCCCCACACAGTTTGCTTTCAGTCTGCACATTTGCTGTGGACTATAAAACTTGATGCCTAGATAAAAACCATACTTCTTAGGGAACCACTCCCTTGAAAGGGGGGACCTAATTCCAGCACACATGGCTGAAGGCTGCTATACTCTTTTCTCAGTTCTGGCTGTGAGGGTCCCTAACCCACTTGAGACCCTGATGTGGTTTGGCTGTGTCCCCACCCAAATCTCATCTTGAATTCCCACATATTGTGGGAGGGACCAGGTGGGAGGTAATTGAATCATGGGGCAGGTCTTTCCTGTGCTATTCTCATGATAGTGAATAAGTCTCATGAGATCTGATAGTTTTATAAAGGGGAATTTCCCTTCACAAGCATTCTTTTCTTGTTTGCTGCCATGTGAGACATGCTTTTCACCTTCCACCATGATTGTGAGACCTCCCCAGCCACATGGAACTGTAAGTCCATTAAAACCTCTTTTTCTTCCCAGTCTCGGGTATGTCTTTATCGGTAGCATGAAAACGGACTAATACAGACCCAGATCTCCAATCCCTAGCCTGAGACTCTCTAATGCCAGTGGCTACCATCATTCCTAGGTCGCAGGATTCTGCACAATTTGCAATGAGCTAGGATTGAATCTACCATCACTCCTCTCAGCACCTAGGTCTAGGAAAATGCTTGGGACACTTCCTAGTGCTGTTCCTTCTCACAGTTTCCTGGCCACTCTACAAGTTAGATCCAGGGCTTGAGAAGGTCAAGGTGTTCTCCCATGGACTGGATTGCATGATTCCTCTGTGGGAAAGTGGATCACAGAGAGACTCTCATCTTCTTCTCTTGTACTGGGAATTCACTCACAGTTTTCAGCCAGACCTCCCCATGCAGGCTGCTCATCTACTTTCTTTCCCATATCTGAGGTTTTCTTAACTTTTCTATTGAATTCCTATGTTCATTTCAGTATAAAAGCTCATAGTGTGAAACTGTACACATTACTTTGCTTCTTCGAAGTGGGAGAGGCATGCTACAAAATCCTCTAGTCTGCCATCTGTAAGATGACTGGATGATCTCTGAGGTCCCAAGTATGATTCTTATCCCAACCTCCATCCTGATTTAGGAAAAGTAAAGGCAGATTCCCAGGACCCAGTCACATTCACAGCTATCTCTTTTAATCTTCACCACCACCCTGTGAGGACACATATTACTTTTGAAGTACACTCTTAACAAGTCTTCTCAAGTTTTCAGCATGTGCCTTGAATTGAGATATTTATTTTGGCCTTTCCATTTATAAATCTAATGCTGTTGGTAATAACCACTCCACACCACAGTCCTTGAGGTCTTTTTTAAAAATGCCTTTCACACTGGTCTGTGGCCATGGCTATTCAGTCTCCCAAAATTTTGCCTTCACTTGGCACGTTAATTCATGTGATCACAGATTGTAATATAATTAGCTCCTTCATTAATATCTGCTATCAGATGATGGACAGGCCTTATTCGCTTTTGAGTTTTTGTAGAGCTAAGTCTAAACAGGGCTAGATAACCTACCCGGATTTTGGATTTGGAATCCTACACTCATAGAAAATTTTGTCAATTAAGAAAGAAGAATTAGAATGACCTTACTTGGGAAAGACTAGTTTTTCCAATACTGGGAAGGTGATAAGGATATCTGTAATGTCTGTGTCTGAGATGCCTTTCCCATTCATGTGCCACACTAAATAGGTCTCTGCACCCTTGACTCAGAGAATGGCTCCTGGGAGTCCTGTAGAGGATACTGAGGGCTGTGGACTTCAAGCCTTGCAAATGGAGAATGGTCTTGGACTCTTGCTTTGAATTAGGACATGAACCAGAAAACACCTGGCTCTGAATAAACAATGAGGTTTTTTAAAGCTTATCTGATGAGATTTCTCAGTGATAACCATGATGGGCAGAGGTTTAGAGTCTCTATCTCTATCTTCTGTACAACAGAGAATGTAAACATTTGTTTTTCTACATGAGGTAATTGGTTTCCCAAATGTAAATAATGATATATCAAAATTTCATTCTCAGGATGGATAAAATCCTATACATTTGTTTAATAATTGTGTGCTGATTGATTCATTTTGTTGCCTGTAGAAAGCAACAAGGGACATAGTATGGGAAAAACGTTTTGCTTAAGTTAATGTTGAAATGAGTCCTTCAGTTTGTGATTAGTTATAAGAATATAGCATTTCTCAGTGTCAAAATTTGTAAAATTTATGTAAAAGAAACTATTTTAAGATTGACTGGGCTTATATTCTGTAGTAAGGACTACGCAATTCATTTGAATGGGCAACATAATGTAAAAATTTAAAACTTATTTAAAACTAAAAAAACCCTGCATAAAATCCTGGGATTGAATTTAATTCTGTCATTATATTTCTCAGTTCTGTACTTTGTATTTGTTTTAAAAAATAATTTCTAGTTCTTTGCTGAACTTTTTATTATTTTTCATTTGATTCAATAGAATTTGTAATTGATTTTTGAAGAATTTTTATCATGGCTGCTTTAAAATCCATGTCAGATAATCTATCATCTGATTCATCTTGGCATTGGCATCAGTTGATTGACTTTTCTCACTCAAGTTATTATTTTCCTCATTCTTTGTATGATGGATGACTTTTGATTGTGTCTTAGACACTTTGCCTATTATGTTAGGAGACTCTGGGTCTCATTTAACTGTTTCATTTTTTCATGCAATTACCCTCTTTAGTTTTAACTTGCAGGCCATGGTGTAATTTGTGGGTTGTAGTTCCAATAGCAGTTGAGTTTCATAGCCAGTTGAGTGCTATTTTGGCCTCTTTGATTGCCTGGTACAGATGGGGCTTCCACTGGTCTCTGCTTCTGCTACCTGAGGGGATGGAAGGGGGTTACCCAGATCTGGATCCTGGATGTCTCTTGGTGGGAGAGAAGTGTGGTAGGAATCCTTCCACTGATACTAGTTCCCCTCTCCATCCCATTTGCCCAGATTCTCTGGCCAGGTGAGGAGCATCTTGTGCCTACAGTGATAAAGAGGCTTCCCAAATAGGGTCACTTGTTGAGCTGAGTTCCTTTTGTTTGGTTCTGTCTGCCCACTTTGGATCTCTTTTAGAACAAAAGGTCTCTTGATAAAGAAGAGTGCTTCTCCTGCTTGCTTATTTTTGGTGGTGGTAGCAATTGATCACCTTTGCTGATGGTGTTGAACTCACCTGTTGTTACCAAGAAACTCCTGTTACTTTGCAGGAGGAATGAGTCTACCTGGGCTGCCTTCTGTTGCTAGGTTGGGAGTCATAAGAAACAGTGCCTGGGTCACCTTCTGTTGTGTGTGTGAGGCAAGATGCCCAACCATTGTGCATTCCTCCAGTCTTAGGGTCTCTTTAACTACCTTTCAGAATTCTCCTTCGGTTGGCTTGCAGCATGATGTCAAAATTTAAAACAGCATAGAAAGGCTAAGTTATAAATAACAGAGTCAGTATTAATATCCATCTTTCTAAGCCCAAATTCTATGTTCTTTCTGCTTTATTCAACTGCCAAATTTTAGGGGAACATTAAAGAAAAATATCCAGTAATTAACAGTAAAAACACCTCTCCATCCAGCATCCATATTTGCTATAAGTGGTATAGATACAGGTGTGATTCCTGGATAGAGAAATGCTATTTACCTAGACACCATTCACCAACATAATCATCCTCTGGTTTTTCAAAGGCTCTTTTTCTATACCTCTTGAAGTTGCATTCCTCTGCTATACAATTAACACCTTTTAAGTAAGATGCCCTGAAGCTTCTCAACATGGCAATGAGGTGGGAAGACACCTATTTTTCTCGTCATCTCACCTGAGGTTAAATAAAGTTAATCATCATCTCACCATCAAGGTATTTGAGATCCACTTGTTAATACATAGGATTACACTGCATCTGTTGTACAACTGGTTATATAAATAGTCCAGTTATAGTATTCCTCTTTTCAAGTGATTATATATTTAAAAAATAATGCAATTTATACTTAGAACAGAAGGAACAACTATCCTCAACAATAGTCATCCTCAGTATGTTCATAGCTTTATGTATCATGTCATGAAAGAAAGCAATAAAATGGATCAGGATTAAGACAGCCTTCAAGAGCAGTCCTTTGTTAAGGCTAAATTTTTCCCGGTACAATGGCCCCTTTATATAACACTACAGGATACATATCTCACTCCCTGGATAAAAAGCTGAAAAGAAATGGAACTTAAAACAGAATCCTGTGAACAATGGATGGGTCTGCCGATGAAAGTAGGCCTGCCATAATCCCACTCCCTCTGTGAAAATTCTACTCTTCAGTGAAAGTGAGCAGAGATAGATCCTGTTATGGAATTTTGGGTCCCCCAGCTGGCTGAGAGCACCATCTCCTCGGTGACCTCTACTTTGCTTGTTTCCACGAAAGACATAACGAAAGTGTCTAAGTTTAAGTACACAAAGCACATGGCTGAGTGAGCTCAGGCCTTTGTTGTACCCCCACCCAAGCAGGCAGTTTAAGTATGCAGTTTAAGAAGTCCAGAGAGGATTTTTAGAATCAGCTGATAAGTAATACAGGAAGGATTTTCTCTGTCTGTTGGAAACTGTATGTGCCCCTGGGCTGGTTTTCTTTTTTGAATTTAGAAGATACTATGTTAGAGAATAGCAAACTGTGCTTCTGTTCCCTTGGTTTGAAATCACCCTTCCTTACTTTTCTGTCCTAAACATTCTTTCATTCTCTGAGGTCTAGTACAAATGCTGACTATGAGCTCTAGAGCCCAGTACTGTGTCTTATTGAACTTTGCATAGTGATATCTACCTCTTAGGGCACACATAGAGTAGCCTCCACTAGTTATCTCCAGCTCATCCTTATATCTCAATACCAGCCTTTCCTGACTCACAAACCTGGTCACTTTTATTGTCTATCATAGTCTATGTCACACATTGTAAAGTGCCTGTTTTTGTGATTGTTTCATTTGTATCTGTCTCTCCCACAGTCAGTTCTGTTTTTGTCTATTACGTTCCAGAACAAAGCATAGTGTTTGCCATACCTTTTGCAACCAAAGAATAGACAAACAACCAAACATTTGTCGACTATTGAATTAACACTTTTTTTTTAAGTCAAACTGTCTTAATTAGCAGATCTTCAACAACAGCTTTTTACCGGGCCAACTGCATTATAGCCACTTCGGAATAAATGACCAAGAGATATTAACGAGAGCTCAAATTAACCAAAGCATTTATATTTACTGCAGTGGTCCTTGCTGGGCATAATTTCCTTGGACCTAATATGCTAAATAAAACAAAAGCCTAAGCAACAGTAAGAGTAGTGTGAAGGTTCCTTCTGATGACATTTCAGAAAGAGAGCCTTGAGGCTTTGTCAAGTGCCAGGGAAAGAATCGTCCCACTTTTTGGGCTTCTCTATCATCTGGACGTGTTTCACAGGGCTTTTCACTACAGGTGCTGAGAGGTTTCAGGCGCCATTTGGGAGCAAGAGAAGGGCATCAGTTTGTGTGTTTTCCAAACACAGCAATTACCACTCACCAGTCAATGTGTGGAGAAACTCAAAACCATTGGTACCAATGTATAATTTAGTCCAGTGGTTCTTGTTTTTAAAATTGGAACAATTTTGTTTTTTCTAATAAAAGTTTACTAATCCTAACTTTCTTTCACATGATGCTGGACCATTTCTACACAACTTCTTCCAGAAAACAGAAGAGGGAACAATTTCCAGTGAATTTTATAAAGCTCTTATTACCCTGATACCAAAATAAAATAATAATAGTACAAAAGAGAAAACAACAGATCATTATCCCTCAAGAATATAAACACAAAAATTTCTAAGAAAATATTAGCAAATAGAATTCAGCAATATGTAAAAAGAATTATACACTAGAACCAAATGGTTTTTCCACCCCCTAGGGATGTGAGGAAAGTTCAATATTTAAAAATCAATTAATGTATTTAATCATATTAACAGGCTAAAAAAGATTACATTATGCAGAAGAAGCATTGACAAAATTCAACACCAAGTCATGATAAAAACTCTCAGAAAAATAGAAATATAAGGAAATTTTATTCACCTGATAAAAAGCATCTATAAAAAAGCTACAGATAATATTATATTTTATGGTGAAAGAGTGAATGCCTTTCCCCTGAGATTGGGAACAAGGCAACAATTTATCTTTCGTCATTCTTATTCAACATAGTACCGGATATTGCAGCCAGTGGAATAAGGCAAGAAAAGCAAATAAAAGAATACAGATTGATAAGAAAAAAACTGTCCGTATTTGCAGATGACATGATGGTCTACATAGGAAATCTCCAGGAACCTACAAAACTTTTCTAGAACTAATAAGTGAGTGCAGCAAACTCACAAGATACAAGCTACACCTACCAAAATAAAATGTATTTCTACATACTAGCAAAGAATGTGTGAACATAAAAATTAAAAGTACAATACCATGTAAAATTGCACAAAAATGAAATACTTATATGTAAATCTAACAAACATGTTCATGACCTGTATGCTGAAACTATAAAACTCTGATGAGTTCAGAGAAAGTACATCATGTTCATGGATTAGAATATATAACATATTAACAATATCAATTTCCCCTAATTGATATTCAAGTTTAATGTAATTTCCATCAATCACAATACAATTTTTACAGATATAGAAAGAATTATTCTAAAATTTATATAGAAAGACAATAGAACTAGATAAAAATCACCTTTGGGAGAAATTCATTCCGAATTTCAATAGTTATTATATGTAGTAATCAAGACTGTGTGTTGGCTGGGTGCAGTGGCTCATGCCTGTAATCCCAGGACTTTGGGAGGCCAAGGCGGCTGGATTGCTTAAGTCCAGGATATTGAGACCAGCCTGGCCAACACAGTGAGACCCCATCTCTAAAAAAATTACAAAAATTAGCTTGGAGTGGTGGCACATGCTTATGGTCCCAGCTACCTGGGAGTCCGAGGTGGGAGGATTCCTTGAGCCCAGGAGGCAGAGGTTGCAGTGAGCTGAGATTGCACCACTGCACTCCAGTCTGGGTGACAGAGTGAGAACCTGACTCAAAAAAAAAAAAAAAAAAAAAGTGTGTGTCATTGGTGGAGGGATAGATAAATAGCTAATGGAACAGAATAGAAAACCCAGAAATATAATCACACAAATATGCCCAACTGATTTTTGACAAAGATGCAAAAGCAATTCAATGGAGGAAAGACAGCCTTTTTTATAAATGGTGCTAGAGAAGCTGGATATCCATATGCAAAAAACGAAATGATATGTATCTCACCTTATAAAAAATTAATTCAAAATGGATTATGAACTTAAATGTTAAATGCAAAACTATAAATCTTTAAAAAATAGAAAGTTGTCAAAATCTAGAGTAAGAAAAAGAATTTTTTGACTTGATAGCAAAAGACAATTTATACAAAGAAATACTGATAAGTAATACTTCATTAAATTTAAAAATTTTTCTCTGTGAAATATCTTGTTAAGATGATAAAAAGACAAGCTACATTGTAGGATAAAAGATATGTAAACAAAATATCCAACATATCTAACAGTATCTAGACAATATAAAGAACTCTCAAAGCTAAACAAAATTACAAAAATCTAATTAGAAAATGGGCAAATTACGTGCAGAGAAATGTCATTAAAATATACAATGGCATATGAAAAAATACTCAACATTATTAGCCATTAGGGAAATGGCAATTAAAACCTCAATGAGATATCACTACCCATGTATCAGAATGCCTAAAAAAGTAATTAATTGAAGGAGGGACAACATTGAATGCTGACAAGAATGCAGACAAATGGATCTCCCATTCATTGCTGCTTGGAATGTGAAAGGTACAATTACTCTGCAAAACAGTTTGTCAGTGTCTTATAAAACTAAATATGCAACTACCACATGACTCAGCAAGTGCATTCCAGGGCATTTATTCTAGAAAAAATAAAAGCGTAGCTTACACAAACACCTGTACACGAATGTTTATAGCAGCTTTATTCATAATAGCTCCAAATTGGAAACTATGCATATGTTCTTCAATAAGTGAATAGTTAAACAAACTGTAATACATCCATATCATGGAATACTACTCTGCAATAAAAAGAAACCAAATATTGATACACACAACAGCCTGGATGAATTTCCAGATAATCATGCTGAATAATAAAAAAGGCAATTCCAAAAGTTTCCATACTATATGATTCTACTTATATAGTATTCTTGAAATGACAAAATTATAGAGATGGAGAAGAGATCGGTGGCTGCCGGGGTTAAGGAGAGGGCAGGACCAAGAGGGAAATGGCTATGGAAATAAAAAGGTGAATGAAGTATCCTCGTGTGATGAAAATGTTCTGTATTTTGACTATCAATTTTAGTGTAGTGGGTGATAGTATTGTACAATGGTTTTCCAAGTTGTTTTTATGGGGAAATTGGGTAATGTGTACATGAGGTCTCTCCATATTATTTCTCACAGCTACATGTGAATCTGTAATTGTCTCCAAATGTGTTTAATTAAAAAAGAGCAAGGTAGGTGTTTTTTTTACCTCAAGGAAATAAATCATGAAAACAAAAATTTCACAAACCTGGAATTAAGTTGGAAAAGTGATTTTGGGAAGAATTGAACCATTTTCATATTTCCTGAATCCTTTTTAAAAATTGTATTATTGTGGTAAAATATATCCATTGTCAACCTAAGTAACACAGAGATTCCCTAAAGTTACTGAGTTTATTCAGGAATGTGTAGAGGATTTGCAAATCTAGGCTGTAAGGGCTTTGAGGATCATTAAGTATATCCAGAGGGATTAAGGCAAGGGGAAGCTTTAAAGGCAAAAGAAAAAAGTACATTTAATTTGTTTTAAAACAGAGAACAAGTGGGTACAGGGGCTTATCGCAGGAGTTGACGTCAGTTCATTAGTGGAGACAGTGTGTCATGCAAGTATTCTCGTCCATCCAGCTAGCTGTCCTTGTGACTCATGTAGCAAACTGCAGTTTATAAAGTCCTTGGCAAATGTTCTTCTTATAGGCATACGTGCGTAAGAGCCCTTCAGGGTCTTTGTATTAGATTTTTTTCCCACAGGCATGTGTATATGAGAGTTCTCCCTTCTCAACCTCCTGGCTTTATTTATTTATTTTGTTAGGGTTTGGCACAAGCTACTCCATTTCAATTCTGACACCTTGCACGATATCATAACATTTACTATTTTAACTGTTAAATGTATAGTTCAGTGGCAGTAAGTACACATTCATATTGTTGTTCAGCCATGACCAGCATCCATCTCTAGAACTTTCTCATCTTGTAAAACTGAAACTTCATACCCATTAAACAATAACTATCCAATCCCCAAAATACGTAATGCTTCACAAAGTTTTATGGGATCCTTATGCAGAGGCCATGCTAATTTACTTGGTATCATTTCAATTTTAGTATATGTGCTGACAAATTGAACACCCCAATTCTTTCCTATTGTTGACTGTTTTTTTCATATCTATATGTGACAGTACCTGGGTGGTAACCCAAAGACATCATCCTGGTAGCTCTATGATTTTCTTAACATGCTGTGGTTAAGAGCCAATTGTTTAATCTGATTATTTTGCCTTGAGGCAACTTTACAGATATTATAAAGAATATGTTTGTTAGTAAGTTGATTCAGTTTGGAAATATCTGTCTTCTTTCTCCATTTTTCCTGTTTGTTCTATAAGACATATGGTTGGGTAACCAGAGATGCTTATTTTTTTATCCTGAAAATTTTGTGTGCTTGTGAGTTATATGGACATGGAGAAGTTTTGAGGGCAGGACAGTTCCTTCATAATGTGAGAAATCAACTATTTAGTACATCCTTCTAGGAAGTTTTTGTTTCTCTTTTTAAATATACAAGATTTTAACACTTCTGTTTTAAAAGATTTCTTCTATGTATAATTCTTTTCAAAGGTACCTTGAATTCTAGAAATATTTAGCAGACTATGTTCTACCTAATTTCTCCAGTTTAGTTGGGGATACATTTTTTAAAACTGTGCCAAAAATTTAAACAAATTTCTCTGATATTGAAATATACTGAGTGCTTAATGTTGTTTCACCTTGCCATGAAAAGTGGTTGCATGTCATTTTTTTCCCTCTTCTGGGACATATTTTTTCAAATTAATTGGACAAATATCTAGGACTATGATTGCTGGATCATATGATAAGACTATGTTAGCTTTATAAGAAACTGCCAACATTTCTTTCAAAATGGCTGTAGCATTTTGCATTCCCACCAGCAATAAACAAAAGTTTCTGTTGCTCCACATCCTTGCCAGTATTTGGTATTTTCAGTTATTATTATTTTTTTTTATTTTAGCCATTCTAACTGGTGTATAGTGGTATCTCATCATTATTTTTCAATTTGCAATTACCTAATGACAAATGGTGCTAAGAATTTTTTCATATGCTTATTTTTCATCTGTAAATCTTCTTTGGTGATATATCTGTTCAGATCTATACATTGTTGTATTGAATTTGCTAATATTTTGCTGAGGATTTTTTTGTTCATGTTCATAAGAGATACTGGTCTATAGATTTCTTTTCTTGTAATGTCCTTATTTGGATTGGCTATTAGGGTAATGCTATGGCCCATTGAATGAATTTTTCATTTTCAGGCTTTATTCTGCCTGTAGAAATTAGTATCTCCTTAGTTCAAATTCTTCAGTGATTAATTTTGTTTGGTGATCAGTTTTGTTTATTGAAATAATCTGTTTTGGCTATGCTGGGTCATCTGGCCTTTTATATAAATTTCAAAATTACCTGGTTTGTATTTCTAACTAATTTTCTTGATATTTCGGTAGAAATTGTAGTATGCTTGTATTTTAATTTGAGGAAAATTGACACTATGTTGAATATTCCAAAACATAAACACATTATGTCTTTCCATTTATTTAGGTCATCTTTGATTTCCTTCACCAGCATTTTAAAGTTTTTAGAATGTAGATTCTCTACATTTTTGGTTCAACATATACTTAAGTGTTCCTTATTTGTAGTAATTGTAAATGGTATTATGTTTTAAAATTTGATTTTCAATTTTTTCATTACTAGCATATAGAAATTTTCAATTTTTTGAATTTCTCTTATATCTTATGACCTTGTCACTATTAGTTCTCAAAATTGTTTTTCATTTTTTTTGGTTGATGCCTTATAATTGTCATACCATCTACAATTACAAACAGTTTTATTTCTTTCTTCCCAATCATTATGCTTTTTATTTCTTTGCCTTGCCTTATTACACTGGCTAAGACTGAAATGCACTGTTAAATATGAGTGGTAACAATAAACATCTTTGCTTTATTTCTAATCTTTGGAGTAAAATATTTAGTATATCAATATTAAGTATGATGTTAACCATAGGCTTCTTGTGAATGCTTTTTATCAGGTTGAGACAGTTTCTTTCTAGTTCTAATTTTCTGAGAGTTTTATTATCAATTTATTTTTGTCAAATATCTCTTCTGTATCAGTTGATATCTTGTAATTTTTTTCTTTAAAAAGTTAATGTGATAAATTATATTGATAAATTTTATGTATTGAAACAAACTTTCATCCTTGGAGAGAAAAAATATCTCTTGGTTGTGGCATACATTCTTTTTATATGTTCTGGATTGGATTTGCTAATATTTTGTTGGGAATATTTGCATCTTTATTCACGAAGGACATTAGTCTTTAAAAACCATCTTTAATTTTTGTATTAGGTGTTGGCTTTATAAAGTGAATTGAGGCGGGGATCCATGATCTCATCTCACTGCTGCTTGTGTCACAGACATGGCTTCTGTTCATAAGTCCCTATTAAATCTTTCTTTCTAAGAAACTGTATTTGTCAGCCTTTTTCTTCAGCTTCTCAGCTTCCTCAGACTTTGGAATAGTGTATTAGTCTGTTTTCACACTGCTATAAAGAACTTTCCGAGACTGGGTAATTTATAAAGAAAAGAGGTTTAATTGATTCACAGTTCCACATGGTTTGGGAGACCTCAGGAAACTTACAGTCATGGTGGAAGGGGAAGCCTACCTGTCTTACATGGCAGCAAGCAAAAGAGAGCGTGTGGAGCAGGAATTGTTAAATGCTTATAAAACCATCAGATCTCGTGAGAACTCACTATCATTAGAAAAACATGTGGGAAACCACCCCCATGATCCAATCACCTCCCACTAGGTCCCTCCCTCGACAAGTGGAGATTATGGGGATTACAATTTGAGATGTGATTTGGGTGGGGACATAAAGCCAAAGCATATCAGATAGGTTTGCATAGAACTGCCCACTGTGAAACTTGTGGCAAGCCAGGCCAGGAGCTAAGAGACGAAAATATGGGCAAAGGGAATGAATCAACCATGGAAGAAGTCCATGGGGGACATCCCAGGTGGCAGCCATTTCTATCTGGAGTAGTGTGGCTCTACCTTTTAGATGCTTCTGCATGAGTATAGGGATGCCTTGTAAACACCAGTATGTTTAGAGAAATTGTTAGCTGTGAGCCATCTATCACCCTGTGGTAAGGAATGGTGGTGAGCTGCCACTGCAGCAGATGGCCACTTCTGTGGGCTGCCTATTTGGCAACAGAAGCCCAGCTAGCAGAAGCAAAGTAAAATGGCTTCAGTAGGAATTACAATTGGAAACGGTTTCTCTTTAAAGAGCTTGATAGTAAAAAGTTGACTTAATTAAACCTACGACCTGAGCTATATATGTATACCTATATATTGTTTTAAGGCCTCTGTTCTCTCTAAAACTTCTCAGTCAAATGAATCCTGACTGTGCCTCTATTTCCATCTGCCTGTCCCTCCTTCCTGTTGTCATCCTCAATGCCACATTAGGGAACAACAAAAGAAAGAATTATGACAGCCTGGGATCCCTTGGGGAAAATGGAAAAGGCCCCAGATTTCTCTTTTGGGGAGAAACCTATTTTTCTTCATGGCACCCCCAAAGTTGTGAGTGGACAGATAAAACTCTGCTCTCTTTTGTATTGAATTATCTTTGGCTTTTTGGGGAGTACCATAGATTGCTTGACACTGTGAGAGGATTTGACCTTGATGTGTGTTTGATGGTTGGTAGTGTGATGGTGGGCAAGAGCTGCAGTGTTGGAGGTGACTAAGGACAGTTATTTGGAGAAGATGGTCATTGCTACAGGGGGCTGCTAAGTTCTTTGTATGTCTGGATAAGAAAAGCACGTGTTAGACCCTAAAAACTTCATGCTTTAGAGTTCTTAAAGAACTCTATCCTAAAATCAGTAATCTAACTAAGAAACAAGCTAAGTTGAAAAGACCACCTGTCAAACTAAATCAGTCTTTGAAACTCTTTGTAAAAGTAATTTTCATATTTAAAAGAAACCTCAATTTTTAAAGGCTTACCTGTCTCTGCACTTAAACCACTAGGAACTTTATGGGGAACAGAATGGTTTAAAGTTTACATAACAAACACTGCATTTGTTTAGATCTATGTTCTGTGTCTTTGAGATGTAAATTTTCTATCTAGTTCCCCTGAGTCCTGTCTTTGGAGACGCTAATTTAAAGTTGCTTCCCTAACAATTGTTTAGGGCATAAAGCAGCTATTTAAGAGATTGACAGTCTAAAGTTGGGGTGAAGCTTTGAAAACTGGGAAATGAAAAACCCTATACACAAGATCTGCTTCTTTCTGCGTGTCTGTTATGTTGATATGCGTCCTATGTAAGTGATATTTCACTAGAAAATATACAAAGAAGTTCTAATCAATTGGCTTAAAGTGAAATTATACACATAAATAAAATATTTTATTAGAAAAATAAAAGTTAGCTCAAATGCCTGTTAGTTCACATGCTTTAATAATCTTTGGTAAATAAAACTAATTTCAAAATTCTCTTCAATGATTTAAAATCTGAAGTCATGCTATGGTAAATTAAGCAATTCTAGAGTTTTTACTAGGAATTTGGGTTACTAAGAGTTAGACTAGTAGTTAATATATAGTAATTAAAACTGCTCAATGTAGGCAAAGGTATTCTATATACAGAGTGTTTATATAAAGAAAACTATGTGATTTTGGGAAAGAAGTTTATGAAAAACATGAAGATGTGGTTTGGCTTAAAGGAAAAGTAACTTTGTCTAGTTGAGAGGCCATTTAAAGGTTGTTTCAAATGAAGAAAAAAATGATACAGTTAAAACTAAATGGATAGAAAGAGAAAGGACAAAAGGGTGGAAATGTGAAAGTTGATTACCGGGTGGCTGCATAGTCATCCGTGGTACGGAGCTGTAGCTGTGTTGCGTCACGTTCACCAAAGGTAAAAGTTACCGGTGGAATTTAGAGATGGCTCAAATGCCTGGGGATTTGGTTCAATGGATGCATAAAGAGAAGCAAACTAAGATGCCAAAAGCAAAATATTCAATCCTTTGGTTATTGTTATCTATAATTGCTAAAACGGAAGGAAGGAAGAAAGTGCTGGGTTGAACTTTGAGGCTGGACTAAGGTTGGGTGCAGGTCTGTCAGAGCTCAGATCGCTAGCCTCAAAGCTACCTAAAAGGGGAAAAAAAATGCCAGGGACAAAATAAAATGACTGAGTCCTGTGGTTACCAAAAAGGTAATCAGTGGTGGGGTGGTTGGGGCGGGGGTGATGGAGGCAAAACTAAGTAACTTTTAAAACCAGAAAGTAAAATGTAAAAAAAATAAATAAATAAGTTTCATTTTGTGGATTGATATCGTCAGCTTCCTGAGAAACCTTTACTAAACTGGATCATGGGAGCAACTACTTTGGGATCAGTGTGTTTGATTTTTAATGCTGCAGAGTAGAGGAGCATGTTTGGGCTGATGCAGGACCCACAGCTCACTATTGAACAGGTGCAGTTGATTAGTGATGTTGAACATTTTTTCATATATGTGTTGGCTATTTGTATGTCTTTTTTTTTGAGAATGTATATTCAGATGCTTAGCCCATTTTTAAATGGAATTATTATTATTATATTTCTTTAAAGGTTTTTGAGTTCCTTGAATATTCTGGATATTAGTTCCTTGTCAGATGAATAGTTTGCAAATATATTTTTTTCATTCAATAGGTTGTCTCTTCACTGTGCTGATTGTTTCCTTTTTGGTGCAAAAGTTTTTTAGTTCAATATAGTCCTATTTGTCTATTTTTGTTTTTCTTTTTGGCTTGTGCTTTTGGGATCTCAACCATAAAATCTTTGCCTAGACTAATGTCCTGGAGTGTTTCCCCTATGTTTTCTTCTAGAAGATTTACAGTTTTGAGTCTTATATTTAAGTCTTTAATTCATTTTGAGTTGATTTTTCTATATGGTAAAATACAGAGTTCTAGTTTCATTCTTCTGCATATGGATATCCAGTTTCCCAATATCATTTATTAAAGAGGATATCTTTTCCTCAATGTATGTTCTTGGTGCCTTTATCAAAAATCAGTGGACTAAAATACGTAAATCTATTTCTGGGTTCTCAATTCTGTTCTGTTGGTTTATGTGCCTATTTTTATATCAATATCATACCGTTTTGATTACTATAGCCTTGTCATATATTTTGAAGTCAGATAGTGTGATGCCTCAAGATTTGTTTGTTTTGCTCAAAATTTCTTTGGCTATTCGGGCACTTTTTTGCTTCCATATGATTTTTAGAATTTTTTTTTCTATTTCTGTGAAAGATGCTTCGGTATTTCATGAAGATTGCATTGAATCTGCATGTTGCTTTGGGTAATATGGTTATTTTAACAAGATTAAGTCTTCTAATTTGAGAGTATAGAATGCTTTTCCATTTGTTTGTGTCCTTTTCAATTGATTTCATCAGCGTTGTCATTTTCCTTATAGAAGTCTTTCACTTTCTTGGATAAATATATTCCTAAGTATTTTATTTTATTTCATTTGTAGCTATTAAAAATGAGGTAGTCTTCTTGATTTCTTTTTCAGGGAGTTTATTCTCAGTTTAGAGAAATAGTAAGTTTTGTATGTTGATTTTGTATCCTGCAATTTTACTGAATTGGCATATAAGAGATTTTGGTAGAGATTTTAGTGTTTTTTTTGTTTTTGTTTAAACATACGAACATGTGCTCTGAAAAAAGGAATAATTTAACTTTCTTTTTTCCAGTTTTGATGAATTTTACTTCTTTCCATTGCCAAATAGCTCTGGTTAGAACTTCCAGTACTATGTTTAACAGCAGTGGCGAAAGTGGGCATCCTTGTCTTATTCCAGTTCTTAAAGAACAGCTTTCAGCTTTTCTCCATTCAGTATGATGTAGCTGTGTTTGTCATAAATGCATTTTATTATTTTGAGGTAAGTTCTTTCTATGCCTACTTTATTGAAAGCTTTTTTCATAAAAGACATTTAATTTTATAGAATTCTTTTTCTGAATCTATTGAGATGATCAGATGGTTTTGTTCTTCATATTTTTGATGTGAATGGCTCACATTTACTGATTTGCATATGCTGAACCATCCTTACAATACTGGTATAAATCCCATTTGATCATGGTGTATTCTTTTTGATATGCTTTTGGATTCATTTGGTTGTATTTTGTTAAAAATTCTTGTGTTTATGTTTATTAGAAATATTAGCCTGTAGTTTTCTTTTTTATTGTGTCCTTGTATGGTTTTCATATCAATGCATCTCTGCCCTCATAGAATAAGTTAGAGAGAATTCCTTCCTCTTTAATTTTTTTGGAATAGTTTGAGGAGAATTGTTGTTCTTCTTTGTAAGTCTAGTAGAGTTTGGCAGTGAAGTCATGACATTCTGGGCTTTTCCTAGTTGGGAGACTTCTGCATACCAATTCAATCTTGATGCCTGTTATTGGTCTGTTCATGTTTTCTATTTTTTCCTGATTCAAGATTGGTAGGTTTATGTGTCCATGAATTTATCTACTTTCTCAATGTTTTCCAGTTTATTTCTGTATACTTGTTTGTAGTACTCTCTGGTGATCTTTTACATTTCTGTGCTATCAGTTGTCATGTTCCCTCTTTGTTTCTGATTTTGTTCATTTTTTGGGTATACTCTCTTTTTTACTGGTTAATGTAGCTAGCAGTTTATAAATTTAGTTCATCTTTCAAAACATCAACTTTTTATTTCATTCATTCTTTGTATGGTTCTTCTTTGTTATTTATTATTTTTTTCCTTCTACTAATTTTGGGCTTGGTTTGTTACTGCTTTTCCAGTTAATTGAGGTATATTTTAGCTTGATTATTCAAAACCATTCACATTTTTTTATTTAGGCATTTATTACTATAAACTTTTCTTTAGCACTACTTTTGTTGTATTCTATAGGTTTTGGTATTTGTTTGTAAATTTTTATCTGTTTTAATAAGTTTTTTAAATTTTCTTTTACTCTATTTGTATCTTCACAGGTGAAGTTAGTCTCTTGTAGGCAGCATATAGTTGAAACATGTTTTTTCAATACATTCAGCTATTTTATACCTTTAAATGGAAAATTCAATCCATTTTATTCAAGATTATCACTGATATGTAAGACCTTATTCCTGTCATTTTGTTAATTTTTTTTATTGTTTTGTGTATGCTTTCTTCCTTTATTTCTCTCCTGTTATTTATCATTGTTATTTGGTGGTAGTGCTAACTCTGAGTTCTTTCTCTTATTCATTTTTATGTTTACTTTATCGATATGTTTTGTTCCTTTGTGTTTTCATAATGGTAGATATTGTCCTTTTGCTTCAATGTGTAGAATTCCCTTAAGAATTTTTTGTAGGGCTAGTCTGGTCATGATGCATTCCCTTAGTTTTTACTTGCCTGGAAATGGTTTTACTTCTTCATTTATAAAGTATAATTTGCTGGCTATAGTATTTTTGGCTTAGTTTTATTTTTTTTTTAGCATTTTGAATATATCATTCCACTCTCTTCTGGGCTGTAGGATTTCTACTGAAAACCAGTTGGAAGTCTGATGAGAATTCCTTATATGTGACTAGACAATTTTTTTCTTGCTGTTTTTAGAATTATCTCTTTGTCTTTGTGTATTAGGCCATTCTTGCTTTGCTATAAAGAAATATCTGAGACTAGGTAATTTATTAGAAAAGAGGTTTAATGTGTTCACAGTTCTGCAGGCTATTCAGAAATCATAACACTGGCAACTGCTTCTGTGGGGGCCTCAGAAAGCTTTTACTCACGGCAGAATATGAAATGAGAGCAGGTATATAATGTGAAAAAAGCAGAAGGAAGTAGTAGGGGTGGAGATGTAACATATTTTTTTTTTTTTTTTTTTTTGAGATAGACTCTTACTCTGTTGCCCAGGCTGGAATGCAGTGGTGTGATCTAGGCTCACTTCAACCTCTACCTCCCAGGCTCAAGCAATTCTAGTGCCTCAGCCTCTTGAGTAGCTGGGATTACATGCATGTGCCACCCTGCCTGGCTAATTTTTGTATTTTTAGTAGAGACGGAGTTTCACCATGTTGGCCAGGCTGGTCTCGAACTCCTGACCTCAGTTAATCCATCTGCCTTGGCCTCCCAAAGTGCTGGGATTGCAGGCATGAGCCACCGTGCCCGGCCAGATTTCACATACTTTTAAGTGATTAGATCTTATGTGAATTCAGAGCAAGAGCTCACTTATCACCAATGCCATGACAAAAACCAAGGGATCTGCCCCCATGATGTAAACACCTCCATCCAGGCCCTACTTACAACACTGGGGATTACATTTCAACATGAGATTTGGGCAAGGACAAATATCCCAACTATATCATTGTGCCCCTAGCCCTTCCTAAATCTCATATCCTTTTTACATTTCAAAATACAGTCACCTTTTCTCAGTAGTCCCTCCAAAGTCTTGCCTCATTCTAGCATTAACTCAAAAGTCCAAAGTCCAAAGTCTCATCTGAGACAAGGAAAATTCCTTCTGCCTATGAACCTGTAAATTCAAAGGCAAGTTATTTACTTCGATAATTTATTGGTGGTATAGGCACTGGGCAAATATTCCCATCCCCAAAGGGAGATATTGGCCAAAAGAAAGGGGATACAAGTCTCAGGTAAATCCAAAATTCATCAAGGAAGTCATTAAACTTCAAAGCTTCAAAATAATCTCTTTTTACTCCATGTCCCACATCCAGGGCAAATGGGTTCAAGGGGTGAGCTCTCTAGGCCTCAGGAATCTCCACCTGTGTGGCTTTGCAGGGTTCAGCCCCCAAGGCTGCTTTCACAAGTTGTTGAGTGCCTGTGGCTTTTCCAGGTGCAGGGTGCAAGCTGCCAGTGAATCTACTATTCTCGGGT
Source organism: Homo sapiens (assembly GCF_000001405.40). Taxonomy (NCBI): domain Eukaryota; kingdom Metazoa; phylum Chordata; class Mammalia; order Primates; family Hominidae; genus Homo; species Homo sapiens. The sequence goes on along the minus strand of NC_000010.11, from coordinate 83,754,627 downwards.
CTGGAGGGCAGTGGCCCCTGATATGGTTTCGCTGTGTCCCCATTCAAATAACATCTTGGATTGTAGCTCCCATAATCCCATGTGTTGTGGGAGGCACTTAGTGGGAGATAATTGAATCATAGGGGTGGTTTTCCTCCATACTGTTCTTGTGGTAGTAAATAAGTTTCATAAGATTTGTTGGTTTTACAAAGAAGAGTTTTCCTCCACAAGCTCTCTTTTCTTGTCTGCTGCCATGTGAGACATGTCTTTCACCTTCCATCATGATCATGAGGCCTCCCCAACCATGTAGAACTGTGAGTCCATTAAACCTCTTTCTTTTGTAAATTGCCCAGTCTCGGGTATATCTTTATCAGCAGCATAAAATAGAACTAATATAGCCCCATTCTCACAGCTCCACTAGGCAGTGACCCAGTGGGGATTCTGTATGGGGTCTCCAGCCCTACATTTCCCCTTGTCGCTGCCCTAGTAGAGGTTCTCTGTGAGGGCTCAACACTGTCAGCAGAATCCTGCCTCAGCACCCAGGTTTTTCCATACATTCTTTGAAATCTCGGCAGAGGGGATAATATGGTTTTGCTCAATGTTCCCACCCAAATCTCGCTATGAATTGTATTAATCACCACATGTCAAGGGTAGGACAGGGTGGAAGTAACTGGATCATGGGGGGTGGTTTCCCCATGCTATTCTCATGATAATGAGTGAGTCTTACAATATCTAATGGCATTTGCCCTGCTAGCACTCATTCTCTCTCCTGCCACCCTGTGAAGTGGTGCCTTCTGCCATGATTGTAAATTTCCTGAGGCCTCCACAGCACTGCACAAATGTGAGTCAATAAAATCTTTTTACTTTACAAATTACTTAGTCTTTGGTATTTCTTTGTAGTGGTGTGAAAATGGGTCAATACAGTAAATTGGTACCAGGAGTAGGGTGTTGCTATAAAGACACCCCAAAATGCGGAAGTGACTTTGGAACTGGGTAACAGGAAGAGGTTGGAACAGTTTAGAGGGCTCAGAAGAAGCACAGAGAAATGTGGAAAAATTTGGAACTTCTTAGAGATTTGGGGGTCTCAGAAGACAGGAAGATGTGGGAAAGTTCGGAACTTCCTAAAGACTTGTTGAATGGCTTTGATCAAAATTCTGATGGTGATATGAACACTGAAGTCAAGGCTGAGGTGGTCTCAGATGGAGTTGTGGAACTTCTTGGGAACTGGAGCAATGGTGACTCTAGCTATGCTTTAGCAAAGAGATGGCAGCACTTTTCCCCTGTGCTAGAGATCTCTGGAACTTTGAACTTGAGAGAAACCATTTAGGGTAACTGGCAGAAGAAATTTCTAAGTGGCAAAGTGTTCAAGAGAAAGCAGAGAGTAAAAGTTTGGAAAATTTGTAACCTGTGAGTGCAATAGAAAATAAAAACCCATTTTCTGAAGAGAAATTCAAGCCTGCTGCAGAAATTGGCATAAGTAACCAGGAGCTGAATGTTAATCACCAAAACAATGGGGAAATGTGTCCAGGGCATGAAAGAGACATTCTCATCAACTCCTTTCATCAAAGACCCAGAGGCCTAGGAAGGAAAAATGCTTTCATGGGCTGGGCCCAGGATCACCCTGCTCTGTGCAGCTTTAGGACATGGTGCCCTGTGTCCCAGGTGTGTCAGTCCCAGCCATGGCTAAAAGGGGCCAATGTGCAGCTCAGGATTTTACTTCAGAGGGTGCAAGCCCCAAGCCTTTGCAACGTACATGTGGTGTTGGGTTTGTGGCTGCACAGGAGTCAAGAATCGAGGCTGGGAGGCCTCCTCTTAGATTTTAGAGGATGTATGGAAATGCCTGGATGTTCAGGCAGAATTTTGCTCCAGGGGCAGAGCCCTCATGTAGAACCTCTGTTAGGGCAGTGCAGAAGGGAAATGTGGGGTTTGAGCCCTGCCACACAATCCCCACTGGGGCACTGCCTAATGGAGCTGTGAGAAGAGGGCCACTATCCTCCAGACTGCAGAATGGTAGATCCACCAAGAGCTTGCACTGTGTGCTTAGAAAAGTCACAAGCACTCACAGTCAACCCATGAAAGCAGCCAGGAGAGGGTTTGTACCCTGTAAAGGCACAGAGGCGGAGCTGCCCAAGGCTGTGATATCCCACTTCTTGCATCAGCATGACCTGGATGTGAGACATGGAGTCAAAGGAGATCATTGTGGAACTTTAAGGTTTAATGACTTCTCTTTTGGATTTCAGACTTGCATGCAGCCTGCAGCCCCTTTTTTTGTGTCAATTTCTTCCATTGGGAATGGTTGTATCTACCCAATGCCTGTACCCTCATTATACCTAGGAAGTAACTAACTTGCTTTTGGTTTTACTTGCCTTGTCTTAGTTGAGACTTTGGACTTGAACCTTTGGGTTAATGCTGGAATGAGTTAGGACTTTGGAGGACTGTTGAAATGGCACAATTGTGTTTTAAAATATGAGTACATGAGATTTGGGAAGGACTAGCGGTGGAATAGTACGGTTTGGCTCTGTGTCCCCATGCAAATCTCACCTTGAATTGGAAAAATCTTCATGTGTCAAGTGTGGGACCAGGTGGAAGTAATTGTATAATGGGGGCAATTTCCTCCTATGCTGTTCTTGTGATAATGAGTGAGTCTCACAAGATCTGATGGTTTTATAAGCATCTGTCATTTGCCCTGATGGCACTCATTCTCTTTCCTGCTAGCCTGTGAAGGGGTGACCCACAGGCCCCATATCTCGTATAAGGCACCATGGCTTGGGGCTTGCACCCTCTGAAGCCATGGCCTGAACTATACCTTGGCCCCTTTTAGCCATGGCTGGAGCTGAGCAGCTGGGATGCTGGGCACCATGTCCTGAGGCTGCACAGAGCAGGGGGGCCTTAGGCCCAGCCCACAGTACCATTATTTTTTCCTCCTAGGACCTCAGGACTCTGATGGGAGAGGCTGCTGTGAAGGTCTCTGACATGCCTTGAGACATTTTCCTTATTGTCTTGGTGATTAATATTTAGCTCTTTGTTACTTATGTAAATTTCTGCAGCAGGCTTGAATGACTTCTTAGAAATTTTTTTGTTTTTTCTTTTTGGAGACAGAGTCTCACTGTGTTGTCCAGGCTGGAGTGCAGTGGCACAATCTTGACTCACTGAAACCTCTGCCTCCTGGGTTCAAGAAATTCTTCTGCCTCTTCCAAGTTGCTGGAACCACAGGTGCACACTGCCATGCCTGGCTAATTTTTTGTATTTTGGTAGAGATGGGGTTTTGCTGTGTTGCCCAGGCATGGTGGCTCATGCCTGTAATCCTAGCACTTTGGGAGGCCGAGGTAGGAGGACTGACTGAGCTCAGGAGTTTTTTTTCCTTTTCTATCACATCACCAGGCTGGAAATTTTCCCAACATTTATGCTCTGCTTCCTCTTGAGTGCTTTGCCACTTAGGAATTTCTTCTGCCAGATACCCCAAATTGTCTTTCTCAAGTTCAAAGTTCCACAAATCTCTAGGGCAAGTGCAAAATGCTGGCAGTCTCTTTTCTAAGGCATAGCAAGAGTCATCATTGCTCCATTTCCCAAGAAATTTCTCCTTTCCATCTGAGACCACCTCAGCCTGAACTTCATTGTCCATATTACTATCAGCATTTTGGTCAAAGCCATTCAATGAGTCTCTAGGAAGTTCCAAACTTTCCCACATCTTCCTGTCTTCTGAGCCCTCCAAATCTCTAGGAAGTTCCAAACCTTTCCACATATTTCTGTGCTTCTCTGAGCCCTCCAAACTGTTCCAACCTCTGCTTGTTGCCCAGTTTCAAAGTCACTTCTACATTTTTGGGTATCTTTACAGCAACACCCCACTCCTGGTACCAATTTACTGTATTAATTCATTCTCATGCTGTTGTAAGGACATAGCCAAGACTGGGTAATTTATAAAGGAAAGAGGTTTATTTGACTCACATTTCTGCAGTGCTGAAAGGCCTCAGGAAACCTACCATTATGGCAGAAGGGGAAGCAAACACATCTTTGCTCACAAAGCAGCAGGAGAGAGGAGAATGAGAACTGAGCAAAAGGGGAAGCCCCTTATTAAATCATCGTGAGAACTCACTATTATGAGAATAGCATGAGAATAACTGCCATTATGATTTTATTGCCTCCTGCTGCATCCCTCCCACCACATGTGGGGATTATGAAAACTACAATTTAAGAAGAAATTTGGGCAGGGACACAGCCAAACCATATCAGGAAGTATGCTCAAGCTGTTGCGGGGAGATCAGTTGTTACAGGCCAAGCAGGCCTGTCCTTAGGTTTTCCAATTCTATGCATGGACACATGCTATGGTGGACAATGTGGGGTGATTCCCATGCAACTTGTTTGGATTGAAATGTCAGTGACAGTAGCAGGCAAGGAGAGCCTGTCTTCAGTTCATGTGCAAGTGTGTTGCAGCTCTGCTGTTGGGGGAGGCAGAGTCATTTTCAGTGGCAACAGCCTTTGTTAGTTGTTTTTTAGGATCTGAGGAACATGCACTTTGGCCCTCTGTGGTGGCTGCACTGACTGGGTAGGTGGTGATCAAGGAGAACCTGTCTTCCAGGCATGCACAAGTTCATAGTAACCCTACTGCTGAGAGGATGGGTAGGTTACTGTCAGTAGTAGTTGCCACAGGCAGGTGGCTTTGAAGCTCTCTGAGCAAATGCCTTGGTTCACTTTGTTATGGGGAAGCCTCCCGAGGACACTGCACAGCCTGTTCCCCAAGATACAGAATGCTGTGTAGGCTATAGGGCTGGGGACCCTTCCCCATTGCTGGTTACAACTCTGTTAAGCCACTGAAGCTCTTGGGGTAGACATGTGGGGATGTCAGTGGGGCTCCAGTGTTGTGGAGATGCAGGGGTTGTTGAGCTCCAGGACAGGATGAAGTCCGATGGAGTCTGGGCTTTCAAAATGGTGCTGTGCTGTGGCTGCTTGGGTCTCAGGGGGTGTGAGGCCCAGCATGGACTCCCTCTTTAGAGCAATGTTGTCATGCAAACTCCAGGCAGATCCTTAGTCTCAGAATTCTTGATGATTGAGGGGATATCCCATGGTTGGAATTCTAAGAGTCTGTGGTGGGAATCTGAACCATTGTGGATCTCTCACTTACCTTTTCCTTGCACTAGGGAGCATCTCCAGGCTACCATCTGATCTTGCCAGCTGATGCTTTGTTTTCATCTCCTTCTGTGACTCAGGTGTCTTCTTTCACTTCTCTGTAGAATTTCAGTGTTGTCTTTTAGATTCTCTATTCAAAGTGTGATCATCTAGTTGCTATTTTGGTTCTTCTTTGTGAAGGAGGTGAGTGCCAAATGCCTTTAGTCATCAATCTTGAGGCTCCCTCCTTTTGCTTCTTAGATGGTGACTTAGATTCTTACTTTGAGACCTTTTTTCCTTTCTAATAGAGGCACTTAATATGTTAAATTTCCTTTTAAGCAATGCTATAGCTACATCCTACATATTTTGACATGTTATATTTTTAATCAGTTAAGTACATTTATTTGCCCTGAGATTTTATTATTGACTCATAGATTATTTAGAAATGTGTTTAATTTCCAAGTGTTTTGATAGTTTTCTCTTATCTTCCCATTTTTGATTCCTAGTTTGAATTCGCTATTGTCAGAGGACAAACTTCATCTGGTTTATATTCCCTTCCATTTTCTAATTTTTATTATTTTCTTTTCACTCTTCAGTTCAGTGAAGATTCTTTCACATTTTCAAGGTGTGTTTTATAACCTAAAGATATGGCCTATTTTAGTTAACATCTCATGTATGCATGAAAATAATGTGTGCTCTGTTGTTATTAGGTCTTCTATAAATGTCAATTACATTCTATTGATTGATGATGTTATGCAGTTCTTCTGTATTATAACTGATTTTTTGTTTAGTGGTTCTTTCAACTACTGAGAGAGTAGTTCAAGTCTTCAGTTATAATTGTGGATCTGTCTTCTTGGTTTAGTTTTTTTTTGCTTTTACTTCATGTGTTTTGCAGCTCTGTTGTTTTATATATACAGAATTATTATGTCTTCTAGATGAATTGACTGTTTTATTATTTTGTTAATACACCCCTTTGATAATTTTCTTTTCTTAAAACATATCTGATTTTAATATAAGCACTTTTATTTTCTTTTGATTAGTGTTTTCATGGTATATATATTTTTCATTCTTTTGTCTCTTGTGTACCTATACCATTATAGTTTAAATAAGTTTCCTATAGACAGAGTAGTTAGGTCACTTAAAAAAATCAATTCTGTTCTGCAAATCTGTCTTTTTATTGGTATATTTATATTGTATGCATGTAGTATATTTATATTTGCATTTGGATTTAAATATGCCATATTGTTACATGTCCTAGTGTTTCTTAGGCAAAAGCAAGCAATATCTGTATTTGAGTTTATTTGTACTAGTTTTCCTTTCTCTGAAGGCATAGACTATTTTGGATACCAAATTCATGTGTTGATGTGTCAGACCAGAATTTATGCTTAGGGTGAGCCCATTTCTTTGCACTTAGTGTCTTATTTACAGAAGCTTCAGGACATCTGAAGCTGAAAGTAGTCCAATAATCTAAACTGCTTCAGTGCTTGCTAACTCTCATAAGCTTATGCCCCTATATTATCCCTGGCCTTACCAAATTCTCTTTTCCATTTCTTTGCAAGATTGTTGAAGTATTTAAAATTTGGGGCTTTATTTTAGTATTTTATCAGTTAATCACAAGGTATTACATAAAGCACATATTGCCTCATTTAATCCTCCTAATGATTATGTAAAATATATATCAGTACCTCTATTTTATAAGTGAGAAAACAGCTAAGAAGACTGTAAAGTTATTTGCCTCCCATAGTGAAGCATATTTTAGAATTTAAAGAAATTTAGAGATGGTATATTCTGTCAAGCAAGAGGCATCAGAGGGTTGGAAACCATAAAAATTGAACATTTTAGAAGGATCCAACATTGGTCATTTGTCTTTACCAGAAAGAGGACTAGAGAAGTGAGATTTTTAGTTTTCAAATAAGCTGCTGATACACCTGGAATGAATGTATCTGTCAATCATATCACCCTATTTCTACATTTCCCAGCTTATTTTAATAAGATAATGTAACAGAACTTCTAGCTAGGTACACAGAATGCCAAATATTTTATTGGCTTAGTGAAAACAGTTCTGATATCTATAACTGACAAAAGATTGGTATCCAGAGTATAGAAACAACTGCCATAAATCAATATAAAAATTTTGAATATACATATTTCATAAGTAGATAAGGGATTTGAATGGGCAATTCACAGAAAAGATTAAAATGTCCAAAAAAAAAATTCTGAAGATAGCTGAATAGGAACAGCTCCAGTCTACAGCTCCCAGCGTGAGTGACACAGAAGATGGGTGATTTTGGCATTTCCAACTGAGGTACCTGGTTCATCTCACTGGGGCTTTTCAGACAGTGGGTGCAGCCCAGGGAGTGTGAGCCAAAGCAGGGTGGGGCATTGCCTCACCTGGGAAGGGCAAGGGGTCAGGGAATTCCCTTCCCCAGCCAAGGGAAGCTGTGACAGATGGTACATAGAAAATCAGGACACTCCCACCCTAATACTGTGCTTTTCCAAAGGTCTTAGCAAATGGCATACCAGAAGATTATATCCTGTGCCTGGCTTGGAGGGTGCCACGCACACAGAACCTCACTCACTGCTAGCACAGCAGTCTGAGATTGAACTGCAAGGTGGCAGTGAGGCTCGGGGAGGGGCGTCCACCATTGCTGAGGCTTGAGTAAGTAAACAAAGCAGCCAGGAAGCTTGAACTGGGTGGAGCCTGCCAAAGTTCAAGGATGCCTGCCTGCCTCTGTAGACTCCACCTCTGGGGGCAGGGCATAGCTGAACAAAAGGTAGCAGAAACTTCTGCAGACTTAAATGTCCCGGTCTGACAGCTTTGAAGAGAGTAGTGGTTCTCCCAGAACGGAGTTTGAGATCTGAGAATGGACAGACTGCCTCCTCAAGTGGGTCCCTGACCCCCGAATAGCCTAACTGGGAGACACTTCCCAGTAGGGGCTGACTGACACCTCATACAGCTGGATGCCCCTCCGAGATGAAGCTTCCAGAGAAGGGATCAGGCAACAATATTTGCCATTCTGCAATATTTGCTGTTATGCAGCCTCCACTGGTGATACCCAGGCAAAAGGGTCTGGAGTGGAGCTCCAGCAAACTCCAGCAGACCTGCAGCTGAAGGTCCTGACTAGAATGAAAACTAACAAAGAGAAAGGACATCCACACCAAGACCCCATCCGTACATCACCATCATCAAAGACCAAAGGTAGATAAAACCACAAAGATGGGGAGAAACCAGAGCAGAAAAGCTGAAAATTCTAAAAATCAGAGCACCTCTTCTCCAAAGGAACACAGCTCCTTGCCAGCAATGGAACAAAGCATGACGGAGAATGACTTTGATGAGTTGAGAGAAGAAGGCTTCAGATGATTCATAGTAACAAACTTCTCTGAGCTAAAGGAGAATGTTTGAACCCATCGCAAAGAAGCTAAAAACCTTGAAAAAAGAATGGCTAACTAGAATAAACAGCATAGAGAGGACCTTAAATGACCTGATGGAGCTGAAAACTACGTGATGCATGCACAAGCTTCAGTAGCCAATTCAATCAAGTGGAAGAAAGGGTATCAGTGATTGAAGATCAAATGAATGAAATGAAGTAAGAAGAGAAGTTTAGAGAAAAAAGAGTAAAAAGAAATGAACAAAGCCTCCAAGAAATATGGGACTATGTGAAATAACCAAATCTATGTCTGATTGGTGTACCTGAAAGTGATGGGGAGAATGGAACCAAGCTAGAAAATACTGTTCAGGATATTATCCAGGAGCACTTACCAAACCTAGCAAGGCAGGCCAACATTCAAATTCAGGAAATACAGAGAACACCACAAAGATACTCCTCGAGAAGAGCAACTCCAAGACACATAATTGTCAGATTCACCGAAGTTGAAATGAAGGAAAAAATGTTAAGGGCAACCAGAGAGAAAGGTCGGGTTACCCACAAAGGGAAGCACATCAGACTAACAGCGGATTTCTCAGTGGAAACGCTACAAGCCAGAAGAGAGTGGGGGCCAGTATTCAACATCCTTAAAGAAAAGAGTTTTCAACCGAGAATTTCATATCCAGCCAAACTAAGCTTCATAAGTGAAGGAGAAATAAAATACTTTACAGACAAGCAAATGCTGAGAGATTTTGTCACCACCAGGCCTGCCTTACAAAAGCTCCCGAAGGAAGCACTAAACATGGAAAGAAACGACCGGTACCAGCCACTGCAAAAACATGCCAAATTGTAAAGACCATCAAGGCTAGGAAGAAACTGCATCAACTAATGAGCAAAATAACCAGCTAACATCATAATGACAGGATCAAATTCACACATAACAATATTAACCTTAAATGTAAATGGGCTAAATGCTCCAATTAAAAGACACAGACTGGCAAATTGGTTAAAGAGTCAAGACCCATCAGTGTGCTGTATTCAGGAGACCCATCTCATGTGCAGAGACACACATAGGCTCAAAATAAAAGGAGGGAGGAAGATCTACCAAGCAAATGGAAAACAAAAAAAAAAGGAGGGGTTGCAATCCTAGTCTCTGATAAAACAGACTTTAAACCAACAAAGATCAAAAGAGACAAAGAAGGCCATTACATAATGGTAAAGGGATCAATTCAACAAGAAGTGCTAACTAGCCTAAATATATATGCACCCAATAGAGGAGCACCCAGATTCATAAAGCAAGTCCTTAGAGACCTACAAAGAGACTTAGACTCCCACACAATAATAATGGGAGACTTTAACACCCCACTGTCAACATTAGACAGATCAACGAGACAGAGAGTTAACAAGGATATCCAGGAATTGAACTCAGCTCTGCACCAGGCAGACCTAATAGACATCTACAGAACTCTCCACCCCAAATCAACAGAATGTACGTTCTTCTCAGTACCACATCACACTTATTCTAAAATTGACCACATAGTTGGAAGTAAAGCACTCCTCAGCAAATGTAAAAGAACAGAAATTATAACAAACTGTCTCTCAGACTACAGTGCAATCAAACTAGAACTCAGTATTAAGAAACTTACTCAAAACTGCTCAACTACATGGAAACTGAACAACCTGCTCCTTAATGACTACTGGGTACATAACGAAATGAAGGCAGAAATAAAGATGTTCTTTGAAACCAATGAGAACAAAGACACAACCTACCAGAATCTCTGGGACATACTTAAAGCAGTGTGTAGAGGGAAATTTATAGCACTAAATGCCTACAAGAGGAAGCAGGAAAGATCTAAAATTGATGCCCTAACATCACAATTAAAAGAACTAGAGAAGCAAGAGCAAACACATTCAAAAGCTAGCAGAAGGCAAGAAATAACTAAGATTAGAGCAGAACTGAAGGAGATAGAGACACAAAAAACCCTTCAAAAAATCAATGAATCCAGGAGCTGGTTTTTGGAAAAGATCAACAAAATTGTTAGACCACTAGCAAGACTAATAAAGAAGAAAAGAGAGAAGAATCAAATAGACGCAATAAAAAATGATAAAGGGGATATCACCACTGATCCCACAGAAATACAAACTACTATCAGAGAATACTATAAACACCTCTACACAAATAAACTAGAAAATCTAGAAGAAATGGATAAATTCTTCGACACATACAACCTCCCAAGACTAAACCAGGAAGAAGTTGAATCCCTGAATTGACCAATAACAGGCTCAAAAATTGAGGCAATAATTAATAGCCTACCAACCAAAAAACAGTCCAGGACTAGATGGATTAATAGCCGAATTCTACCAGAGCTACAAAGAGGAGCTAGTACCATTCCTTCTGAAACTATTCCAATGAATAGAAAAAGAGGGAATTCTCCCTAACTCATTTTATGAGGCCAGATTCATCCTGATACCAAAGCCTGGCAGAGACACAACAACAAAAAAGAGAATTTTAGGCCAATATCCCTGATGAAGACTGATGCAAAAATCCTCAGTAAAATACTGGCAAACCGAATGCAGCAGCACATCAAAAAGCTTATCCACCATGATCAAGTTGGCTTCATCCCTGGGATGCAAGGCTGGTTTGACATATGCAAATCAATAAATGTAATCCATCATATAAACAGAACCAAACACAAACACCACAATATTATCTTAATCTATGCAGAAAAGAAAAGACCTCCAACAAAATTTAACATCCCTTCATGGTAAAAATTCTCATTACACTAGGTATTAATGGGACATATCTCAACATAATAAGAGCTATTTATGACAAACCCACAGTGAATATCATACTGAATGGGCAAAAACTGGAAGTATTAAGACAGGGATGCCCTCTGTCACCACTCCTATTCAACATAGTGTCGGAAGTTCTGGCCAGGGCAATCAGGCAGGAGAAAGAAATAAAGGGTATTCAATTAGAAAAAGAGGAAGTCAAATTGTCTCTGCTCGCAGATGACATGATTGTATATTTAGAAAACCCCATCATCTTAGCCCCAAATCTCCTTAGGCTGATAAGCAACTTCAGCAAAGTCTCAGGATACAAAATCAATGTGCAAAAATCACAAACATTCCTATACACCAATAACAGACAAACAGAGAGCCAAATCATGAGTGAACTCCCATTCACAATTGTTTCAAAGAGAATAAAATACCTAGGAATCCAACTTACAAGGGATGTAAAGGACTTCTTCAAGGAGAACGACAAACCACTGCTCAATGAAATAAAAGAAGACACAAACAAACGGAAGAACATTCCATGCTCATGGATAGGAAGAATCAATATCACGAAAATGGCCATATTGCCCAAGGTTATTTATAGATTCAATGCTATTCCCATCAAGCTACCAATGACTTTCTTCACAGAACTGGATAAAACTACTTTAAAGTTCATATGGAACCAAAAAAGAGCCTGCATTGCCAAGACAATCCTAAGCCAAAAGAACAAAGCTGGAGGCATCACGTTACCTGATTTCAAACTATACTACAAGGCGACAGTAACCAAAACAGCATGATACTGGTACCAAAATAGACATATAGACCAATGGAAGAGAACAGAGCCCTGAGAAATAGTACCACACATCTACAACCATCTGATCTTTGACAAACCTGACAAAAACAAGAAATGGGGAAAGGATTCCCTATTTAATAAATGGTGCTGGGAAAACTGGCTAGCCATATGTAGAAAGCTGAAACTGGATCCCTTCCTTATACCTTAAACAACATTTAATTCAAGATGGATTAAAGACTTAAATGTGAGACCTAAAACCATAAAAACCCTAGAAGAAAACCTAGGCAATACCATTCAGGACATGGGCATGGGCAAGGACTTCATGACTAAAACACCAAAAGTAATGGCAACAAAAGCCAAAATTGACAAATGGGATCCAATTAAACTGAAGAGCTCCTGCACAGCAAAAGAAACTACCATCAGAGTGGACAGTCAACCTACAGAATGGGATAAAAATTTTAAAATCTACCCATTTGACAAAGGGCTAATATCCAGAATCTACAATGAACTGATTGTTTTTACAAGAAAACAATTTTACAAGAAAAAAATCAAACAACCCCATCAAAAAGTGGGCAAATGATATGAACAGACACTTCTCAAAAGAAGACATTTATGCAGCCAACGGACACATGAAAAAATGCTCATCATCACTGGCCATCAGAGAAATGCAAATCAAAACCACAGTGAGTTACCATCTCACACCAGTTAGAATGGCAATCATTAAAAAGTCAGGAAACAACAGGTGCTGGAGAGGATGTGGAGAAATAGGAACACTTTTACACTGTTGGTGGACTGTAAACTAGTTCAACCATACTGAATATGTGGAAGCAACATTGGAACTGGGTAACAGGAAGAGTTTTGAACAGTTTGGAGGATTCAGAAGAAGACAGGAAAATGTGGGAAAATTTGGAACTTCCTAAAGACTTGGAGAACTCAGAAGAAAAGAAGATGTGGGAAAGTTTAAACTTCCTAGAGACTTGTTGAATGGCTTTGACCAAACTGCTGATAGTGATATGGACCATGAAATCCAGGCTGAGGTGGTCTCAGATGGAGATCAGAAACTTCTTGGGAACTGGAGTAAAGGTTGCTCTTGCTATGGAGAGAGACTGGTGGCATTTTTTTCCCTGCTCTAGAGATCTGTGGAGTTTTGAACTGGAAAGAGATGATTTAGGGTATCTGATGGAAAAAATTTGTAAATGGCAAAGCATTCAAGAGAAAGCAGAGTATTGAAGTTTGGAAAATTTGTGGCCTAACAATGCCATAGAAAAGAAAAATTCATTTTCTGGTTAGAAATCCAAGCCTGCTGAAGAAATTTGCACAAGTAAGGAGGATTCAAATGTTAATCACCAAGATAATGGTGAAAATGTGTCCAGGGTATGTCAGAGACCTTCACAGTAACCCCTTCCATCACAGGGCCAGAGGTCTTAGAGTAAAAAATGGTTTCCTGGACCAGCCTCAGAGCCCCCCATCCTCTGTGCAGCCTTGGGACTTGGGACCCTGCATCCCAGCCAGTCTAGCCATGACTAAAAGGAGCCAAGGTATAGCTTGGGTTGTGGCTTCAGAGGGTGAAAGCCCCAAGCCTTGGCAGCTTTCACATGGTGTTTGTCCTGTGGGTATGAAAACGTCAAAAATTGAGGTTTGGGAACTTCCACCTAGATTTCATAGGGTTTATGGGAATGCCTGAATGTCCAGGCAGAAGTTTGCTGCATGAGTGGAGTCCTCATGAAGAACCTCTGCTAGGGCATTGAGAAAAGGAAATGTGGGGTCATAGCCCCCCACATAGAGTCTCAACTAGGACACGGCTTAGTAGAGATGTGAGAAGAGGGTCACTGTCCTCCAAACTCCATAATGGTAGATCCACTGACAGCTTGTATCATATGCCTGGAAAAGCCATAGACACTCAGCAACAGCCTGTGAAAGCAGTTGAGAGGGGGAATATACCCTGCAAAGCCACAGGGGGAGAGCTGCCCAAGTCCATGTTAGCCCACCTTTTGGATCAGCATGATCTGGATGTGAGACGTGAAGTCAAAGGGAATCATTTTGGAACATTAAGGTTAGTGACTGCCCTATTGGATTTTAGACTTGCATGGTGCCTGTAGCTCCTTTGTATCAGTCAATTTCTCCTATTTGGAATGGATGTATTTACCCAATGCCTGTATCCCCATTGTATCTAAGAAGTAACTAACTTGCTTTTGATATTACATGTTTATAGGTGGAAGGGATGTGCCCTGTCTCAGATAAGATTTTGGACTTGGACTTAAGAGTTAATGCTGGAATGGAATGGGAAGGCATTATTGTCTTTTGAAATGGAGGACATCAAATTTTGGAGGGGCCAATGGTGAAATCATATGGTTTGGCTGTGTCCCCACCCAAATATCATTTTGAACTGTAGTTTCCATATTCCCCATGTGTCGTGGGAGGGACCCAGTGGGAGGTAATTGAATCATGGTTGCAGTTACCTGCATGCTCTACTCATGATAGTGAGTTCTCACAAGTTCTGATGGTTTTATAAGGGGCTTCCTCACCACCATCATTGCTCATTCTTCTCCTTCCTGTTGCCATGTGAAGAAGAATATGTTTGCTTCTTCTTTTGCTGTGACTGTAAGTTTCCTGAGTCCTCCCCAGCTGTGCTGAACTGTGAGTCAATTAAACCTCTTTCTTATAAATTACCCAGTCTTGGGTATGTCTTCATAGCAGGAGAGAATGGACAAATATAGCAAGTTTTATGTTAACCACATTGAAAAGAAAATGGCAAATAACTTCAGAAGATGACTCAGAAATAACTCCCATTCTCTGGGTCACAACGTTCATATCATTTGGCAAACACACAATATAATTCTTATTATATTAGCAAATATTTTTTATAATTCTATTAATATTTATACTAAGAAGCCATGGCAATTGAAAACACTAGATATTTTCATGCTGTATCAGTGCTTAAGGGAACTATAGAAATAAACTCTAATAGGAGTTTTGGGTTTATCATGCTTTGCTTCACAGACACATTTAAAAAATTTATGATTCAGCAAAATGCTTCTGTACTTTTGGAATCAGACATGACTGGATTTTTAAACCTTTGGGAAATTAACCTTTTAGAAATTCAATTTCTTTTTAAATAAATTGACCTTAAATGATGACTACTTTATATAGTATTTGTGAGGAATATATAAAATTGTAAATGAAGGCTTTTAGTGTCACAAGTGGCACAGAGTAAGAACTCAATGAATGTTAATTCCTTTTTTCCCAATTTAGTAAGAATAATTCCAATGTGCTGAGTTATAGAAAATTGAAAAGTGACTTTAAAAATATTGTAATTGCTTGTCAAATTTACCTCAGCTTATTTTTTTAAGAAATAAATTATAAAAGGCAAAATTAAAACTTCCTGTGTCTCATCTCTAATACCATTCACTCACTTTTCTCTGAAGTAAATCGTATCCTTATTTGTACATCATTTCCTTGCATTATTTATTTCCAAATGTTTAACTGAAATTGTATAGGCCTAAGTCCATGCATTTTTTATGCTGTAATTATATACTATATTTGAATTACAAACAATAATATGTATTATTATGGTATTTTAAACTTTTATGTTTTATTTTTATAAATTAAGGCAAATTAAAATCTAGTTCAAATTTTTTCTCAAGTAGATAACCAATTGTCTCAGAATAATATATTAAATAGTCCATTATTCCCCCGATGATTGGTAATATGATCCCAATTATATGTCAAGTTTATTTATAGACATGTGTTTGATTTTGATTTCCTTCCCTTCCATTGGTCTTACCATGTATCTCTGTGCTAGTACCACATCATCTTAATCATAGTAACTTTATAGTAAAGCTGATGTTTTGTAAAACACCAGTTAGCAAACCCAGATATCCTAATCACATTGACCAATCATCCTACTGGTCTTCCAGTTCTCTGACTCTGCTCAAACCTCACTTGTTTCCCTTCTCTACTCCTTCATTCTCCCTTTAGAATGCCCCTTTACCTCTATTTGAATCAAAGTTAACATTGGACTCTCTTTCTTACTGCAGAGTCCCTCTATACTATTTTAAATAATAATGGCTATTCTAGGACTTTTCATTTTCTATGTTAATTAGAATCTGATTGTTAAGTTATACCTGCAGACTTTTCAGACCTTAATTGTGATTGCACTGAATTTAGGGAACAAACTGGGCAGGATTGACATCACTATAATACTGCATCTTCTAGTTCATGTACATGGTATATCTTGATGTATTTTGTCAAAGATAAATAAAGCTGGACACTTGTTAAAGACTGTAAGGCAGATTTTACTCAATAACTACTGCAATAGGGAAGAAAGTCTGATGTAAACTGAGCTTAACTTTATTTTGGTAGCGGTGAGTGGCATTATAAAGGGATAATGACAGAGTAGGAAAGAGGAAAAAGTGGGGTTCCAGCAAAGTCAGAGAACTGAAAAGCAGGGAGTATGATTGGCCAGTGTGATTAGGTCATCTGGGTTTGCTAACTGGTGCTTTTCATAGATACATTGCTACCATCCCACAGTGACTGGGAGACAGGGTCTCCCTTTTCAGGTGTTGGCTAGAGCAAATACTAAATTCTTTCAGCAGCCTTCAGCTTTCTCAGGTAGTAATTTAAGAGGAGTGGTTGGGTCATCCCAAAACACATCTGTAAACCAAAAAGTATGAGATACAGGTTGTAATTAACATAGAAGCTTATTTTGCCACCGTTAAGGATGTGCCTGGAAAAAATAAACATGGAATCCCAGAAAGTCTGTGGTCTGTCCCTTTCTCCAAAGTCAACTTTCAGGGCTTTGGTATTTAAAGGGGGAAAACTGGGCTAGAGTGGAAGAGGAAGCATATAGTAATTCACACATTGCATGAGAAAAGGAGAAGGTGGGGGAATAGTCAATTATATATTCATCTTGCACTCAGTAACTTGGCACTTTGCATTAGATAGGGTGAATGTATAGTAGCTACCTGTGGAGATATTTAATATTTTATCTGTAGATATATGCTTAGGAACAATAGGAAAGGCAACTTCTTGCATGACTTAGCTTATTTTTTTTCTTTTGGCATAGTGAATTGGGGTCCCAAGTTTTTATTTTTCTTTCACACATCCTTGGGCTGTATGGAGGCATGCTAGAGTATGTTAACATCTCTTAGAGCATGGGGTAGATGAAATTATTTATGCTGAAAGTCTGCATTCTTTATAGGCTAAAGTTGAGGTCAAGTCAAGAAGAGAGCTCATATGAGCCTGAGTGTGATTAAAGAGAAAACCTTTGTTAATATGATAATTAAAAATATATATATTCTTTACTAATGCTTTATGACTTTTTCTATTCCATAGTGAATTTTTGAGAGATAAATATCTAATAATTTAAACAGAAAATCAGTTATGAGTCTCCCAAGTCAATAATTCAAGATATATATGTAAGCATGTCATATACAATAAGTTCTCTATGCTAAGAAGACTGAGAGACTTAAGGGCCACTATGAAGTTGCCTGTATAAAATAAAAGAAGTCTAATCTAGAGGACAGTGCAAGATGGCAGAGTAGGATTCTCCAGCAATGATCTTTCCATAGAAGCATAAATTAAAAAAACTAATCACACATTAAAAAATACCTTCACAAGAGCTAATTAAATGAGGTGAGAGATTTTAGTACCTAGTTATAGAACATCAATAAAGAAAGATGCATTGAAGATGGTAGGAAGGATGGTTTTACATTATTCATGTCACTGTTCTCCCAACCCCAGGCAGCCCAGTATGAAGAGCAATAACATCTGCTCTGGGGAAAGAGAAAAGTGAGCACAGGACTTGTCTTGGACAGAATGCTGGCCTTCCACAGTAAAATGTGGCACTTGGCAGAAACCCACAATCCTATATTCCAGTTCAGTACCCACAGACAGAATTTTCAGACTCACCGTGGCACCTACTAGTACCAAAAAGCTCTAGGTTTCATGCTTGCTTGGCAAACTCAGTCTCTGGCCTGTACCATTTCTAGGTCAACGTCAGTGGCCCTGGGCTCTAAAATATTCTTTTTTTAAAAAAAAATCAGAATCTATATTACAAATGTCCTCCAAGAATACAGGAAGAAAAGATAGCCCCATGCAAAGGGCTCTCTAAGTAGCCCATCATTGGTCTATGACAATACCAATTGTAACAGCTTGTGAAGAAGGTTCAATAGAGAAATAAGGCATAAGCTTTTCTGTAAACTTATCAGTGAAAGTATACACATATGATCTGTTTTTTAAACTATAAAATGAAACCTCTCCCAACTCATAGTCCAGAAAAATGGCAACTTGCAGGACTTCTGTATTCCTTGTAGTGCATGAACTACAGAATGGCTGAATTTGCCAGCACCCCATCTGTGGAACTGGTGATATAAGACTGTCTCTGGGAAATGTTTCTTTACACACACCAAGGAACAATGCACCTGTGCCTCTCACTTCTACTTGCCAAAAGTGTCTCCTAGCATCAAATCCCTCACAGCTATGGACAGCTGGGTAAAAACTAAATGACTGAGAATTGCCAAAAAAGTTTGGCCTCGTCATCCTTAGTATCACACTTTTTCTATCTCTTGAGATAATAAGACTAGGGTGGGTTGTTTCTGGATCTAGCATCAAATCTTCCTGAAATGTGCTCATCATTCCTTGCAGGCCAAAATAATGTGGAGGGAGGCTCAAACTCTCCTTCTTTGATTCATATAAGAAGATTGCAGGGGTTTTCAGGTTTTCATATGTGTTATAAATATTCTCAATACCTGTCAGCACATCCAAGTCTGCCTGAAAACAATTCTCTGTTATTTCATTTAACTGATTTTGTAGTACAAATAAGTGCTTTGAAATTTATCTTTGGTTTTCAGTGAGTTTTTCTTCAGCCTCCTTCTCTTCAGTAAGTAGCCTGTCATGAATTGTGGCTTGTTCCCTTTCCAAGAAAGACTTAATTTCTTCAAATTCAGACTGTAATTCCTTCCTCCATGTTACCATCTTCCTTTTCACATTAAAAGATCTCAAAATTGGGACTTCACGCCGCATCTTGGCATCTTCAATTTCTTTCTCTAGTGGGGCTTAATGTAGCTTTTGAGCTTCCTTCTGTGTGTAGCTGCAGTTTCCTCAGTGGGCGTCAGGGGGGTGATCCTGGTGGTCAGAGGAGACCCTGGGCTCTAAAAACTTCTAAGCAGCAGGACTCAGTGACCCTGGGAATCAGACTTACCCCAGCATTGTCCCTGATGTTGTGCTTCTGGCAGCACTGTGACAGTCGTAACTACCCTGGGCTTCTGGTGTACCCTAGCAGTGTGCCTATTGCAAGGATTTTCCAGAATAAACTAGTCTGTGAAGGCTGAAATAAGTATCTACCTCTTCTGTTCTATCTATGCAGCCACTGATGCACAACCACAACAATCAAGAACAATGATGGAGACATAATATCACCAAAGAAATAAGATGCCAGGGACTGTCTGACCTTAAAGAAATGGAGATGTATAAACTGCCTGACAAAGAGTTTAACATAACTGTTTTAGGAAGCTCAGCAAACTTCAAGAAAATATAGAGAAATATTTCAACTAAATAAGGAAAAATATGTGACCAGAATGAGAAATTCAATAGAGAGATTGAAATAGTAAAAAATCCACACAGACATTTTGAAGCTGAAAAGTATAATGAACAAAATAAAAAGTGCAATAAAGAGCACAGACAGCAGAATTTATCAGGCAGAAGGGAAAATTTGTGAACTCAAGACCAGGTTATTTAAAAACATACAGTAAAAAATGTGAATAAAAAAGAATGAAGAAAGTTATGGAACTAATGGGACAGGATCAAATGAACAAATTTTTGAATCACAGGAGTTAAAGGAGGAGAAGAGAAAGATAAAAGGAAAACTTATATAAAAATTGTAGAAAAATTTTCAAACCCAAAGAAAGATGTAAATATCCAGATACAGGAAGGTCAAAATCTCTAATCATATTCAATCCAAATAAGACTATCTAAGCCATTATAATCAAACTGTCAAAAATCAAACACAAAAAGAGGATTCTGAAATCAGCAAGAAAAAGCAAATAATGTGTGAGAGTTTCAATATGGCTGGCAGAAGACTTCTCAGCAGAGATCTTAGGAGATAGACAAAATATCCAGAGTCCTAAAGGAAAAAAATACTGTCAACCAAGTATACTGTACCAAGCAAAGTTGTTCTTCATAAATGAATGCAAGATAGATTTTTCCAGACAGGCAAAGCTGAGGAAGTTTCTCACCATCATACCTGTCTTATTAAAAAAAATGCTGAAGAGAGTTCTTCAAGTTGAAAGAAAAGAACACTAAAATACAAAAAACATCCAAAAGTATAAAATTCACTGGTAAAAGTAGACAGTCAAATTCAGAATACTCTAATATTGTAATAGTTGAATGTAAAGACCTTATATATTTTTTAGTGTGAAGGTTGAAACACAAAACCATTAAAAATAATAATAGTTACAATAATTTTTAAGAGATATGTCATATAAAATGATGTAAACTGTGGGATCAAAAATTCAAAATGTGTGGAGAGTTTGGAGTAAAAATATAAAGTTCTAAGTTTTTGTCATGAAGGATATCATCAGCTTAAAACAACCTGTTATAACTATAGATCTTTTTTGTATGCCTCATGGTAATCACAAAGTAAAATCCTATAGTAGATACACACACAAAAAAAAAGAATAAAGAAAACAAAACATACCACTAGAGAAAATCACTTAACCACAAAAAAAGCAGAAGAGGAAGAAAGGAACAACTGATCTATAAAAAGGTTAATAAAATGACAGTCGTAGTCCTTCCCTATTGATAATTACCTCACATGTAAATGAATTAAAATTTGTAATTAAAATATATAAGGTGGCTGAATGAATTTAAAAAACCAAGACCCAGTTATATGCTGTCTACATGAAACTCCTTTCACTTGTAAGAACACACATAGGCTGAAAGTGAAGTGATAAAAAAAAGATATTCCATGCTAATGAAAACCATAAGAGAGCAAAAGCGGCTATATTTATATCAGACAAAATAGATTTTAAGTAAGAAAGTATAAAAAGAGATAAAGAACATCATTATATAATGACAAAGGAGTCAATTCAGCAAGAAGATATGAAAATTGTAAATATATATGCAGACAATATTGAAGTAGCTAAATATATAAAGCAAACAAAAATCAATCTGAAGGGAGAAACATACTGCAATACATAATAGTAGGGAACTTCAACATTGCACTTTCAGCAATAGACAAATCATCCATATAGAAAATTATTAAGGAAACTTCAGACTTAAGCATTCTAGAGTAAACAAACCTAACAGACATATACAGAATGTTCCATCCAATAGCCGCAGAAAACATTCTTCTCAATTACATACAGAACATTCTCCAAAATAGATAACATGTTATACCACAAAAGAAGTTTTAACAAATTTAAGAAGACTAAAATCTTATTAGATATATTTACTGACCACAATGATATAAAACTAAAAATCAATAGCAGGAGGAACTTTGAAAAAAAAAATCACTAACATATGTATATTAAACAACATGCTCCTAAACAACCAATGAGGTAACAAACAAATTGAAAGGAAAATTTAAATAACTTCTCAAGACAAATGAAAATGTAAACAGTATACCAAAACCTATGGCATATAGCAAAAAGAGCTTTAAGAAGGAAATTCTTAATAATAAACACCTATATCAAAAAAGAAGAAAGATCTCCAATAAACAACCTAGCATTGCACCTCAAGGAACTGGGAAAACAAGAACAGACTAAGCCCAAAGTTAATGGAAGAATGGAAATAATAAAGAAGAGAGGAGAAATAAATAAAATAGAGGCTAGAAAAACACTGGAAAAGATAAACAAAACTGCACTTTTTTTGAAAAGGTATACAAAATTGGCACACCTTTAGCTAGGCTAAGAAAAAAAGAAGACTAAAATATGTAAAAATAGAAATGGAAAAGAAGACATTACAACTAATAAAACAGAAATACAATGGGTCATAAGAGATTATTATGAAAAATTATATGCCAAAAAATGGGACAAACTAGAAGAAATAAATTCCTCGATGCATGCAAACTATCAAAACTGAATTAAAAATAATAGAAAATATTAATGGATCAATAATGAATAAGAAAATTGAATCAGTAATAAAAAGCCTGTTATCAAATAAAAGTCCAGGAACTTATGGCTTCATTGTTGAATTCTATCAAACATTTAAGTAGAACTAATACCAATTCATCTCAACCAATTTCAAAATATTGAAAAAGAGGGGATACTTCCAAGCATTTTAGAAGTCAGCTTAAATATGATACCAAAGCCAGGCAAAGAAACTGCAAAAAAAGAAAACTACAGGTCAATATTCTGGATGAACATAGACATAAAAATCATTGAGAAAACACTGGCAAAGTGAATTCAGCAACATTTAAAAAAATTATTCACCATGATTGAATGGGATTCATCTTAGGGATGCAAGGATGGCCTAACACATGTAAATTAAATGTAATACATCACCTTAAGAAAATGAAGGACAAAATTTATACAGTCATTTTAATAGGCGCAGAAAAAAACATTTCACAAAATTCAATATTATTTCATGATAAAAACTCTCAACAAATTAGTTATAGAAGAAATGGCCTGCAACACAATAATGGGCATATACAACAAAACCTGTAGCTAAAATAATACTCAACAGAGAGAAGTTGACAGCTTTTCCCCCGAGAATTGGAACAAAACAAGGATACTCTTGCCATTTCTATTGAATATGATATTGGAAGTCCTAGTCAGAGCAATTAGATAAGAGAAAGAAATAAAAGGCATCCAAATTGGGAAAGAAGAAGCTAAGTGGTCCCTACTTGCAGATGATATGATCTTATGTACAGAAAACCATAAAGACGTCACTAAAGACTGTTATAACTAAGAAATGAATTCAGCAAAGTTGCAGTAGTTTCTATATACTCACAGTGAACTATCTGTAAAAGAAATTAAAAAATTCTTTTATAATAGCTACCGAAATACTTAGGAGTAAATTTAACCAAGGAGGTGAAAGACCTGTTCACCAAAAAGTATAAAACATTGAAGAAAAAAATTGAGGAGACAAATAAATGAAAAGATATCACATGTTCATAGATTGAAAGTTAATAAAATATGTACACTACACAAATAACCTATAGATCCAACGCAACCCTTATTAAGATATCAGTGACATTCTTTACAGAAATATTTAAAAAAATTTTTGAAACCACGTAAGACCCTGAATGCCAGAGCCATTTTTGGCAAAAAGAGCAATACTGGAGGCATCACACTACCTAATTTCAAAATATACCACAACGCCATAGTAAACAAAACAACATGGTACTGCCATAAAAACAGACACATAGACCAATGGAACCTAATAGAGAGCCCAGAAATAAATAAATTCATGCATTTATGTCAACTGATTTTCAACAAAGAAGGCAAGATTTCACAATGTGGTAAGGAGAGTGTCTTCAATAATTTATGTTGGGAAAAATTGGATATCCACAAACAGAAGAATAAAATTAGACTCTCATCTCACACTGTATAGAAAATCAACTCAAAGTGGATTAAACACCTAAGTATAAGACCTGAAACTATGAAACTACTAGAAGAAAACACAGGGGAAAAGCTCCATGACACTGGTTTGGACAATGACTTTTTAAGTATGACTCCAAAAGCACAGGCAACAAAAGCAAAAACAGACAAATGGGATTACAACAAACTGAAAATTTTCTACAAAGCAAAGGAAAGAATCAATTAGAGTGATGAGATAACCTACAAAATCGGGGAACATATTTGTAAACTATATATTTGATAGAAGGCTAATTTCCAAAATATATAAGAAACTCAATTAAAGTAAGAATAAAACAAATAGCTCAAAAAATAGACATGTCTCAAAGAAAGACATAAAATGGTCAACAGATACATGAAAAAAGGCTCAACATCACTAATCATGAGGGAAACACAAATGAGATATCACTACTATGAGATATCACCTCACACTGGTTAAGATGGCTGTTACCAAAAAGAAAAATGATAAATATTGGTGTGGGTGTGGAGAAAAAAGAACCCTTGGACACTGTTGGGAATGTAAATTAAAACAGCCATTAAGATAAACAGTATGGAAGTTTCTTAGAAAAATAAAAGTAGAACTACTATATAATCCAGCAGTACTAGGTATACAAAAGAATGAAATCACTATCTCAAAGACATATCTGCACTTCCATGTTTATTGCAGCACTATTCACAATAGCCAAGACATGGAATCAACCTAAGTGTCCAACATGGACAAACAGATAAAAAAAGAAGTGGTATATACACACAAGGAATATTATTCAACCGTAAGAAGAAAGAAATCTTGTCATTTGTGACAACGTGGATAAGCCTAAAAGATGTTAAGTGAAATACACCAGGCACAGGAAGACAAATACCACATTTTTTCTTTATATGTGGTGTCTAAAAAAGTCAATTTCCTAGAAGTAGAGTAGAATGGTAGTTACCAGTGGCTAGGATAGTTGGAGAAGTGCTGTGGAAATGTTGGTCAAAGAATACAAAATTTCAGTTAGACAGGAGCAATACGTTCAAAAAATCTATTTTACAACATGATGACTATGGTTAATAATACATTATATTCTTGCAAAATGCTAAGAGAGTGGATGTAAAGTATTCTTATCACAAAAATTATAACGATATTAGCTAATGCACATGTTAATTAGCTAGATACAGTCATTCCAAAATGTATATATACTTCAAAACATCATATTGTAAATGATAAATACACACAATTTAATATGTCAATGTATAAAATATATAAAATATAATAAAGGGGTAATATTTTTGTATATTTGAGTTTTGAATGTTTAAGTTTATTCTCTGCTAGATAGATAGATAAAGAGAAAATGTGTATTTAAGGAAAATGCAACTGATAGCCTTTTAAAAGGCAACAAATATAGGAGGCAGAAATTACCCATATTTCCACCTGAAGAGTTCAGGCTGACAATTCTGGACAAGTTCCAGGATGCTGTAGACAACATGTTCTATTTTATAATGTATCTCAAAAAGGTGCTACAAAGATGAAAAAGAAAGTGGAAAATGAACTGTGAACTCTCAGAAAATAAATGAGAGAAAATAAAATCTATCAGAGAGATGAATATCATATTAGAAACAATACAT
Source organism: Homo sapiens (assembly GCF_000001405.40). Classification (NCBI taxonomy): domain Eukaryota; kingdom Metazoa; phylum Chordata; class Mammalia; order Primates; family Hominidae; genus Homo; species Homo sapiens. The sequence continues at coordinate 83,729,434 of NC_000010.11, read as the reverse complement.
ATTAGAATAAAATATTAAAAACACTTTTACAGAAAAGATCATAGTCATGGATAAGGGAGGAGATATAAAACATATATAATTTATGTCCTTGAAAAAGACTACATACAATAGAAAGTGTAATTAAGTATATAAACTCAAAGTTCTTTTGAAACAAACATCGCTATCTTCAGAGTGAAAGCACATATCAATCGCCAGATGATTTTGATACAGAAAAAGTAAACACCAATTTATATCTTGATAACATTACTTAATTTAAAAAGAAAACAGAAGGCTTATGTGAGTAGTCATTGAAGCAGACAAAGCAAATTATATGGAATTTGGGCCTCAGACTTTCCTCATCACCACTTATCCCAGCAGACAGAGAAGAAATTTTGTAGAAAAGTGTGACCTAATATTTAGATCTTTAGCCCTGTTGTCAATTTTAGTATAAAGGTAACAAAGAACATTTATGGATATTCAAGATGTTTAGGACTGAAGCATCTAACTTCCTATTACCAAAATAAGCAAGAAATGATGCTAACAAACAAAATTCTAATGAATAAGAAAATCCATGCAAAAAGGAAAAGAAACAAGACAGAACTCAGGATATAGAAATCATGTTGAAAGCATTTGTGGTAGGCATTTAATCCATTTAGTTACGCACGTAAGACATAACAACTATAAAAATTATGTTTATAAAACAGAAGGTAATTTGATATAAGTATAAAAAAGTAAAAATAATAATATAGGTAACAATAATTTTTTAAGAATTTGAAGAAACTTTGAAAGAAATGCCAATTTTCTCACATATTATGGAGCAGAAGTAGGCAATAGATGCCAATATTGAAATGTGTGGTTTAAAAAATACAATATCTCAACCTGATAATTTTAAAAACAGACCTTTTTTTTTAGAGCAGATTTAGACTTACAGAAAAATTGAGCATCAAGTACAGAAAGTTCCAATATGCTCCTCAGCCCCACATATGCATAACCTTCCTCACTATTGACATCCCCCACCAGACGGTACATTGTTAAAACTGATGAGTTGGCCGGGGGTGGTGGCTCAGGCCTGTAATCCCAGCACTTAGGGAGGCTGAGGCGGGTGGATCACAAGGTCAGGAGATTGAGACCATCCTGGCCAACATGGTGAAACCCCGTCTCTACTAAAAATACAAAAATTAGCTGGGCATGGTGGTGCCGCCTGTAGTCCCAGCTACTCAGGAGGCTGAGGCAGGAGAATCACTTGAACCCAGGAGGTGGAGGCTGCAGTGAGCCAAGACCATGCCACTGCACTCCAGCCTGGGCAACAGAGTGAGGCTCTGTTTCAACAAAACAAAAACAAAACCAAAAACCAAAAAACAAAACCAAAAAACTGATGAGTCTACATTAATACATTATCATCCACAGTCCATAGTTTAGGGTTTATTCTTGGTGCTGTGCATTCTTTTTTCTTTTTCTTTTTCTTTTGAGACACAGTCTTACTCTGTTGCCCAAGCTGGAGTGCAGTGGCCCACTCCATAACCTCCGCCTCCGGGGTTCAAGCGATTCTCCTGCCTCAGCCTCCAGAGTTGGTAGGACAACAGGTGTGCGCCACCATGCCCATCTAATTTTTGTATTTTTAGTAGAGACAAAGTTTCACTATGTTGGCCAGGCTGGTCTTGAACTCCTGACCTTGTGATCTACCATCCTACAGGGTTTTTACAAATGAATAATGACATATTCACCATTGTAGTTCAGCCTGTTAATTTTTAGTATCATTTTTCTAAACTTTAGAGGCATGTTTGGGAACTGAATATTGCTCTTGTGGGATATTATTTGAGATTGGTGGGGATAACTTGTAGTAATATACAACTTCACAATCTCAGTGTCTGACTATAACAAGGCTATGTTTTCCTCTTGCAAAGTCAGCTATAGGTCTCAGCATCTGCATCCATTAAATTTCATCATGTAGCAGCATTGTCCAGATTATGCAGGCTTCCTGATAAATGTGGTAGGGAAAGAGATTATTATGGAAGCATATATGACAGTTGGATTCTTTGATCTGGAAGTCACATTATCACTCCCAATCCCTGTGTTACTCTGTTCTTGCATTGCTATAAAGGAATACCTGAGGCTGGATAATTCATAAAGAAAAGAGGTTTAATTGGCTCATGGTTCTGTGGGCTGTACAAGCATGGCACCAGCATCTGCTTGGCTTCTGGGGAAGCCTCAGGCAGCTTTACTCATGGTAAAGGCAAAGAGGGGGCAGACACATCACATGGCCAGAGCAAGAGCAAGAGCAAGGTTGGGGGAAGGTGCCACACACTTTTAAATAACCAGATCTCACAAGAGAACTCACTCACTACTACAAGGATAGCACCAAGCCCTAAGAGATCTGCCTCCATAACCCAAATTCTTCCCACAATACAATTCAACGTGAGATTTAGAGAGAACACATACTCATTCCCTAACCGATTGGCCAGATCACATGGTCCTACAAATCAGCAAAGGAGCATAGTGCAGTACAAATCTCCCCTGAGCACAGGACAGAAAAATCACATCTGTTCAGAACTAGAAGCCTGTTCCAAAGTAAGAATACTCATTCTCTGAAGCTCAGTAACTCCATTTGTTTTACATTAACACTATTTTTTTGTTTCACTTAAATTCAGCTGAATTCCAAGTTAACTAAGTTAGTTGACATGAGCAGAATTATATAGTTTTTCATAAATAATATTTACCAAATATTTGTTGTTGTTGTTTGTTTTTTGAGACAGGGTCCTACTCTGTCACCCAGGCTGGATTGCAGTGGCATGATTGTGGCTCACTGCAGCTTCACCTCCTGGGCTCAGGAGATCCTCTTGCTTCAGCCTTCCAAGCAGCTGGGACTACAGGCACACACCACCACACTCAGCGAATTTTTAAAATTATTTGTAGAGATAGGGTCTCCCTATGATGCCTGGGCTGGTACCGAATGTTAATGGCTATTTATGAGTATTAGAATGTTAATCTTCTTTATTGTTCTTTAAGCTATCAGTATGTAGTATTTTTACAAAAAAGTATGTTTATAAATTTCATTTACTAAAAGTTTTTATGACTTAAAAATCTTGAAGGAAATAGAAGAAAAAAGGTATTATACATAAAAGCTTCAGTGCATTGTGGGTCTGATATTGGTTTCCTACATTGCCTCTTAATATGCAGCATATTTCTGACTTTATATATTGCTTCTCATAGTTAATGATGGTGATAATTATGATAAAAGTACTGCAGTTTATAGAACTTCTTGCCTATTTGCTGCTTCCAGAAACAGCATGCTGTGATACCTGGCAGACACATCGCTATCTTATTAATTTTCATATGATAAAGTATGATATCCTTTAAGCTAGCACAATCCACTCATTTTTCACAAACTCATGGACCAACTCTGGGCACTTCGATACATTAAGCCAATTCTCCCAGACCATCTCCACTATTTCTGACCTGTTTCCATTTATATCAAGTTCATATATAGTTTTTGAAACTTGGCTTTTGATCATAGTACATCTATTTCCCCATCTGGTCTACACAACTGCTATCTCTGACTTCATTTACATGGCTTTGTTTGAACTTTTTTTCTTACCTTTTCTCCTGTCTCACATAACAAATCCTGCCCATGTTCAGCCTCAGTAGCCCAACTCCCTGTCCTAGCCCACCGGCTGAGACTCTAGCATACCACACATTGTCTTCTGATAAAGAAGCTTCAATTAGAGGCCACATAGGATACTGGTTAAGCACCTACTGTTTGAATAATCTAGGCTTGGTCCCAATCCAAGTTCTGACTTTTACTGGCATATGGCCTAGGAACCTTTACTTGCCTGGTCTGTTTGATGGAGATCAGCATGCCTTCCTCTTATGGTTGTTTTATTGATAAAATGAGATGACTTACATAAGCACTCATCATAATGTAAGCTATAGGAAAAATGTTCACTAAGATTGGCTTTTATTGATTATCAAATACCAAAAGCAAGTATTTCTTCCTAAGAAATTGAAAGTAGGGCAAATTCTACAGTGAAATTGCTCTTTCCAGACTAACTTTAAAATATGCTTTTACTTCTAAGTCCTTGAGAAGTGGTGGATGAAACTACCTGTTTGAGTACCTACCAATACTTTAAACCACATTTTCCTGCTCTCTGAAAGACATTTTAAATTGTCCCACAGGTAATTCTCACTTCTCAGGAATTTGTTTTAGTCTGTTTCCATGAGACACTTCCTCTTCATGCCCAAAATGTGGATAAAGAAGCTTTCCCATCACAGAGGAACATGAGACAACTACAAATAGGAAGACGCTGTTTATGGTGCATATTTCTTTTGGCAGAATCATTGTCACATATCTGACTCAACACTTATTTCTAGAAGAACAAGTTGTTCAGGAAGGAAATCTATTTCCATAGCTAAAATGGAAGTTTTATTTAAGAAGTGCAATTGGAATAAATCACACAAGAGAAAGTGGTTAAAGTGCACAGCTGCTGGTTTCAAATTTAACACTATTTGTGTATGAAAAAGTGGTTGGGAAAGTTTTACTTTTACTTCTGGACCCACTGGGTAGCCTCAGGGCACGTGACAGTGTTCTCTATTCCTAGTTATGTTTGCAAGGGCAAAACACAGAAGTTCTGTGGCTTTCAAATACACAAGCAACAACCACTACACAAAAACCTATGGCGCTTCTTGGGTTGGGATTTTGAGATTGAACCCTAAGCAAAGCGAGTGAGTATTGCTGTGTTAGTTAGACAAAAACAAAATAGAAGGGAATGCGTATCTGAGTGGATCTAGAACTGTGTGAAGATTAAGGTATTAGACCTAAGGTTGTATTTTGGGGGTGTCCTGGAAAGAAACCCATAGGCTTTTGACACACTCTCTGGAGTTGATAATAAATGTCTCACTGCCTTGTTCTCTAACTCTGCTTACCTCAATCTTTTCACATTTTTTTCCTTCCTCCCTTTTCTAATTCCTCTTCTATTTTTCCCCTTTTATTTTCCGTCTATATATTTCAGCAACTACCATGTTTCTTCATGTTTTCTGAAACCTCTTTTTCTTCTCTTTCCCAATCATTTTCCCCCATATTTTCTATCCTCTCATTACCTCATCCTGTATTTATTTCTCTTTATTTCCTATGTTCTCTTCCCTTTAGCAACTGAGTAAGGGACAGAAAATATGCCTTACATGACTGTCAAAAACTGCTGCTTTTTGATGAAGGCTCACCTGGCTCTGCAGCCAGGAGTAATCTATTTTTCTAATTTTTTCCAGCACTTAATCCATCTGATTTTTTCCTTCCTCCCTCCTTCTAGCAATGTGAGCACCTGCCCACTCTCCTGTATTACACTGGAAGCTCCTTGCACATAAGCATAGTATCTTTCCATCATTCTTTTTTCAAAGAAAAGTTTATATACTGATTGGTAGAAATATTTACTCAATAAGTATTCAGAATATACATATAAAATGGTTAATGTGACAATTTAAAATGTTTTCAGAGTTTGAAAGTTTTAATCTGCTGATAAAATTCTACAAATAGCTCTCTATGTTCTCCTAATTTATTTTAAGGATACATTTCCAAGGGAATGTTGTTTTTGCAAATACTTATTATTTAGATATTATGGATTTTAAACCAATGTAATCACTGAATTTGTTATTAAGTATACCGGAGCCTAAATGAATGTACCGGGGACTGGGTAGGGAAGGGGACAAGAGACTGATTTGGACCATGGTTCTAGGACAAAAATAAATGTTTGGGCTCTAAGCCATCCCACATGACAGATGTAGTATTGCCCAAATGACAATATCTGAGAGACTTTGATGAATCCACTTTATTGTTTGATTTCAGGTTTCTAAGAGGAGCTCAATAAATATCTCTTCTTCATCTCCTCTTTTAAGGTCAAGGGAGAAGATAAATTAGTAGATCCTGATTGTAAGATTTTAAACTTTTATGTAATAAACAAAGGTATAAGCCTAACCTGGCATGAGGGATTTTCTGTGATCTCACCCACAGTAAAAGTCAAAGTCCTTAATATAACCTAAGACATCTTACCTGATATTGTCCATATCTCCTTTTTCCTTACCCCTTTAACTCTCTGGCCTCAAATTTTCCTACTGTTTTCCTCCCTTTTTCTACTCTAGCTGTTGTTTCTTCAGTAAGCTGGACATAGGCATGTTTCCAATTGGGGTTTTTGTATCCTTTGCCAAGAACGCGTTTCTCCAGATGGCTCCATGGCTCCCTTCCTTCCTTCTTTTAGCTTATTAATTGAAACCCATTTTTTTCAGACATCTTCCCTCTTCATCCTCCCTAAAAATGGAAAACTCTTTGTTATTTAGCACTATTTCATGCTTTATCTTTTTCTTTTATACACTTATTATATAAAAACTAGAATTCCATATCAGTTTATTCAGGACCAGCTTCATGGACTCATACTTGGTTTTATGCTCTGTTATCACCAACTTGAAATTCTTAATAACTTTGAACTACAGGTCCTGCATTTTCAGTTGGCACTAGGCGTTGTAGATTACATAGTAAGTCGTGAGTCTAATTTTAATATTAGCTGTCTGTCCTTTAAAATATAAGCTACCTGTGGGTTATAATTTTTATCTTTTTTGAGCATGATATGCACATTTGAAAAATATTAGTGTAATCAGTAAATTAATGAGCAGAGCAATGGGCATGGTAGATATAAATTAAGTAGGATTTCTTGCTTTTTTTCACCTTTTTTTGGCTAGGCATGAAAACCAAACATTGTGAGGTCTGAAGAATATGAATTGTAAGTCTTTGCATCACATTTTGGGTCTCTAAAGGTGCAGGCTCAGGGAGTACCTACAGAAGTACCTATAGGGACTTAAGAAGTTCTTGTGCTTTAAAAGCCCATATGCCACTCCAATCTACCCCATGAAGGAAGCTTTCTCACTCCTAGCACTAAGTTCAAAGGTTTAGAATCTGAGATACTGACAGTGGTGGGCTTCCTGGCAAGCCTGGAAGGAAGCTGCTTTCATCCTTTGCTCACTCTCTCTTTTAAATAAAGAATATATGTATACAATTTTTATATATGTACATGAAAATAGATAATATATACACAACATAAAATTTTCCATTTTAACTATTTTTAAGTGTACAATTCAGTGGCATTAAATACATTCCCATTGTTGAGCAACCCTTACCACTAGCCATCTCCAGAACCTATCTTTTTAATTGAAACTCTGTACCCATTAACGATTCTCCATCATCCTCTTCCTCTTGCTCCTGAAAAATACCATTCTATATTTTGTTTCTATAAATTTGACTATTCTAGGGACATCATATGATTGGAATCATATGTGCCCGTTTGAGACTTATTTAACCAAGCATAATGTCTTCAAGGTCTATCCATGGATTTCCTTACTTTTTAAGGATGAATAATATTTCTGTATATGTATATGCCACGTTTCGTTTATCAATTAATCCATCATTCAACCTTAGTGATAGACACTAAGGTTAATTCTACCTTTGGGCCATTATGAATAATGCTGCTATGAATAAGAGTGTATAAATATCTGTTCCAGACCATTCTTACAATGCTTTTGGGTTACATTCAGGTATGGGATTGCAAGATCATATGGTAATTTTACACTTAATTTTGTGAATAACTTCCACACTATTTTCCACAGAAGCTGATCAATTTTACATTTCCACCAATACTATGCAGGCCTTCGATTTCTCTACAATCTCACCAACATTTGTTTTGTTTTATAATAGGCATTCTAATAATGGTTTTGATTTGCATTTCTGTAATGATTAGTAATATTGAGCATCTTTTCATGTGCTTAATAATCATTTCTATATCTTCTTTAAAGAAATTTATATTTAAGATTTTTGTCCATTTTTAAGGCCTGGCGCAGTGGCTCATGACTGTAATCCTAACACTTTGAGAGGCTGAGGTGGGAGGATCACCTGAGGTCAGGAATTCAAGACTGGCCTGGCCAACATGGTGAAATCCCGTCTCTAGTAAAAATACAAAAATTAGCTGTGGGTGTGGTGGCACGTGCCTGTAATCCCAGCTACCTGGGAGGCTGAGGCAAGAGAAATGCTAGAATCCCGGAGGTGGAGGCCGCAGTGAGCCAAGATCACACCACCACACTCCAGCCTGGGTGACAGAGTGAGACTCTGTCTCAAAAAATCCAACATCATTCGTTTGCATGTGGCTATCCAGTTTTCCCAACACCATTTGTTGAAAAGACTGCTCCTTTCCCACTGAATGGTCTTGGAATCTTTGCTGAAAATCATTTGAGTATGTGTGTGTGGGCTGTCTATTCTATTGCCTTGGTCTATGCGTCTGTCTGTCTTTATGTCAGTACCACACTGTTTTGATTATTGTAGCTTAGTAGTAAGTTTTAAAATCAGAAAGTGTGAGGCCTCCGACTTTGTTCTTTTTCAAGATTGTTTTGGCTATTTGTGGTCCCTTGAGAGTTCGTATAAATTTTAGGATAAACTTTTCTATTTCTGCAAAAAAAGTCTGAAATTTTGATAGGGATTGCATTAAATCTGTGAAATGCTTTGGGTAGTATCAACATTTGAAAAATATTAAGTTTTCCAATCCTTGATCATGAGATGTCATTCAACTTATTTGTGCTATATTTAATTATGTTCAGCAGCATTTTGTAGTTTTCAATGTGTAAGTTTTTCGTCACTTCTTTGGTTAAGTTTATTCTTAAGTATTTTGTTCTTTACGATGCCATTGTAAATCAAATTGCTTTCTTAATTTCTTTTTTGGAGTTTTTATTGTTAGTGTATGAAAACAAATAATTTTTGTGAGTAACTTTGCAGAATTATTTTATTTAGTTTTAGCAGTTGTGTGGGTATGAACAGAGATAACTACTTAATCTTTTCCAAATTTGATGCCTTTTATTTCTTATTTCCTTTGCCTAATTGCCCTGGCAGTACTACATTGAATAGAAGTGGTAAAAACAGGCATTTATTTTGTTCTCTTTGTTTCACCTTTCCCACCATTACAGTCTTGTGACATATGACTGGATATGACTGGAAATATCCTGTCATTTAACAAACCTAGTGCTTTACTAAGTGTCTTGGTTCTAGGTCCATAGTTTTGTGGGTCTCAGATAAATATGGGATAATCTTATCTATCTTGTTGATACATTAAAAAGTGAGACTCAGATGTGAGATTGGAGTGATTTAGATTTGTTCAAGGATCTAACTCATTGTAGCAAATTCTGAGATTTAACTCATTATAACAAATTCTTATAAATTGCCAAATTTATAAGAAAATGTGTTTAACTTTGGATTTTTATTTCACTAGAAACCTGATAATTAGCATATTGAATATTGCCTATTTTTCTGGACTAATTTAAATGCCTTCTATTGAATTTGGGCCATGCTCCTATGAGGTATTCACTGTGATGCCTGTTGATAAACTCATTTGGACAATACATCTAGGTATAATTTTAGCTGTAAAATAGAAAAAGACATGAATTATTGTTCTGGGGCACATGGGTCCTTGGAGTAAACTTACTTAATTTTTGGCTCTAAGTTTATTTTAGAGATTTTTAAAGACAGCATTTGAACTGCACAAGTCACGGGTCCAGGAAGATACAAGGGGTCCTGATAGTTATGGGGCGGGTACAGTTACACAAAGACAGAAGTCCCTGGAACTGGGCAGAGGGCTGCCATTTCTCTTATTATCTATAAATCCTGGAGTATCTAGGGCAGGGAATGCTTCCGAGTCTCTTAGCATTCTTTTGTCTCTTTCTATAGACAGAAGACAACTTCCTCTCAACAATCATTTCCCTTTGTCATCCTTTTCCTGGCTTCTGTTAAGGAAGGGGAAATTGAAGTCATCCAGCTGACAATCACAGGTATGGATGTTTATCTGACTTTCTTGGTTTATATTATGCTTTTTAGTTTGTCTTAACTATTGTAAGTTGTGTGTTGGTCTCTTGGAGATGCTATATTTTGCTTAGTTCCCCTAATAACTAATGAATGACAATCCAGGAATATAAAATATGCTGCAGGTTGACACACACTGGCTATCTTGCCCATAGGAGACGTTGCTAACCGCATAAATCATTTCTCTCAGTTCAGACTTGGCATTATTTGGAGTGTTCACCTTAGAGCAACTCTAAGCACCAGCCACCATTTGAATTGGAATCTGCCACAGGGAGAAAACTTATTGCTGCTCAAATATGAAGTGTATCATTAGAAATAATCTTTCAATACAAAAAATTAGCAAGGCATGGTGGCATACACCTGTAGTCCTAGCTACTCAGGAGGCTAAGGTAGGAGAATCATCTGAGCCTGGGAAGTTAAAACTGCAGCGAGCAGAGATTGTGCCACTGAACTTCAGCTGGGGTGACAGAGTGAGACCCTGTCTCAAAAAAAGAGAAATATTTCCTGAATACGTGTATATAAACTATATTTAGAAATATAAGAAAAAGTCTAGTAATATAGCTTTTCCAGGGAAGGAAACAGACCTGAGATAGGGATGGGAGAGAGATGTTTTACTACGTACTTCTTTCTACCTGAATTTTGAACCATGGTGATTGCTTTAGTTACTCAGAAATACATAGAATACAATGTGAAAATATTGAAAATACTCTCTTCTCATTCTGATCCAACTTATTCCTTTTACTTAACTTATACATTGGCTAGGATTTCTAGTATAATGCTGTTCCAGAGTAATGGTGAAAGTAGACGTCTTTGTCTTGCATGATGCTGAAAATATTCCCTAAGGCTTCTATTTAATATTTTTTTTTAATGTTTTTTTTTTTTGTTATTATACTCTAAGTTTTAGGGTACATGTGCACATTGTGCAGGTTAGTTACATATGTATACATGTGCCATGCTGGTGCGCTGCACCCACTAACGTGTCATCTAGCATTAGGTATATCTCCCAATGCTATCCCTCCCCCCTCCCCCGACCCCACCACAGTCCCCAGAGTGTGATATTCCCCTTCCTGTGTCCATGTGATCTCATTGTTCAATTCCCACCTATGAGTGAGAATATGCGGTGTTTGGTTTTTTGTTCTTGCGATAGTTTACTGAGAATGATGGTTTCCAATTTCATCCATGTCCCTACAAAGGACATGAACTCATCATTTTTTATGGCTGCATAGTATTCCATGGTGTATATGTGCCACATTTTCTTAATCCAGTCTAGAGTTTTACTTTGATAAATTCTCTATTGCCTATAATGGCTTCTGCTTGAAAATTTCCAAATGCTTTATTATTGCTAAAAGTAAATTGAGTAAGTCAAATAAAGTGTTGACAGTCATTTCCTCCAACAACTTTCTTTGGGAAAAATATATTAATAGTTCTGGTTTGTTTACCTAATTAATCTTAGATAATGAGAATAAAAAGATTGTTTAGTATTAAACAATTAAACACCTAAGAGAACAAGTTAATGACCTTTTTAGCTGCAATTTTGGTAAGTTCTCATATTAAGCCAGTTTCATTGCTTCTTCAAGGTGAGCACTACCATCCTAGCATCTTGGTTATGGCTTATCCAGCTCTGGTAGATGTATTTGTAAGATCATGCTCTTTCTGAAGGGCCTAGGTGGGAGAAGCAAGAGGCATGACTGAGGTATTTTGGTCTCTACCATGTTTCACTGAGGGGCTTTTATAACAGAGCACTGACTGGGGTGTGAAGTGCTTTTCCAATGCTGAAAAAGGTAGCACTTTGTTTTTCACTGGCCATTACTGTTTGTGGGTATCTTCCCCAAGGCTTCTGAAGAGAAGGAGACATGAGGGATAGATTTGGGTACCAACACTCATCACAAATCCTTACCAGTTAAGCCCTACTTTATCAGGAAAATAAATTATACATTGTGGAAGTCAGTGTGGCGATTCCTCAGGGATCTAGAGCTAGAAATACCATGTGACCCAGCCATCCCATTACTGGGTATATACCCAAAGGATTATAAATCATGATGCTATAAAGACACATGCACATGTATGTTTATAGCAGCACTATTCACAATAGCAAAGACTTGGAACCAACCTAAATGTCCAACAACGATAGACTGGATTAAGAAAATGTGGCACATATACACCGTGGAATACTATGCAGCCATAAAAATGATGAGTTCATGTCCTTTGTAGGGACATGGATGAAACTGGAAACCATCATTCTCAGCAAACTATCGCAAGGACAAAAAAACAAACACTGCATGTTCTCATTCATAGGTGGGAACTGAACAATGAGAACACATGGACACAGAAAGGGGAACATCACACACTGGGGACTGTTGTGGGGTGGGGGGAGGGGGGAGGGATAGCATTAGGAGATATACCTAATGCTAAATGACAAGTTAATGGGTGCAGCACACCAACATGGCACATGTATACATATGTAACAAACCTGCACATTGTGCACATGTACCCTAAAACTTAAAGTATAATAATAATAAAATTTAAAAAAAACAAAAGAAAATAACTTTTTTAATACTTTCATTAAGGTCGTAAATGTTAAGGCCTAGAGAATTAAAAAAACTGAAGAATGCAGGCTTCTGGGGAACAGTACTTGGAAGATTATAATGCTTCTCTTTGGGTTCCTGAAGACTTGAGTATCATTAGAGATAAAGAAATACATGATAAAGAAAAGTATAGGGATTTGTGGAACCATTTCGCAGGAAATATTGGTGTCTGTGAACTGAGAGAGAGAGAGCCTACATTTCTTCAATAAGCACTGGGTTACCAGGAAAAATGAAAAGAAAAATTTTAATATTATACAAAGATGTTATGAGTACAAAAGGAAAAAAAATTTGAAATTAAGAAAATCTGGAACATAGCATATTATTGCAAATCTTATATGATACATATCTGAATGCCTCTCTGCAAGAGAGAGGAAGTGTATATGAGAGATAGTTCCATTCCTGGGTCTAATCTTAGAGAGATAAGGAAAAATTTAATATTACAATTAACTTCTTGATTATTATTTTCTGCTAATTAAAGTTTTAAAAAAGTTTAATAAAAATTAAACTTTTTATTTTGAGATAATATTAGGTTCATATAGCTATTAAAAATAATACAGATGATCTTTTGTACCCTTTACCCAGTTTCTACCAATAATAACATTTTGCAAAACTATAGTCCAATACCATGGCCAGGGTATTGACATTGATATAGTCAATATTCAGAACACTCCATCATTAAAAGGATCCTTCATGTTGCTCTTCTATGGTCATCCCCACTTTCCTCTTACCTCACCTCTCTTTAACCCATAGCAACCAATAAATTGTTCTCCATTTTATAATTTTGTGAGGTATTTCATATACAAAATAGTATGATTTTGTATATGTATGTATATGTGTACACATACACACACAAAATTTACTGTGGTATGTAAACATTTGGAATTGGCTTTTTTTTCACTCAGCATAATTCAATTTTCTGGTAATTCTCCAGTTTGTTGCATATTTTAATAACTTGCTCCTTTTTATTAGTGGGTAGTATTTCATAGTATGGATATACCACAGTTTATTTAACCAGTCATCTGTTGAAGAACATCAGGGATGATATTTATAGTTTTGAGCTATTACAAAGAAAGCTGCTATAAACATTCACATACAAGTATTTGTGTGAACATACGTTTTCATTTTTCTAGTATAAATTGCCCAAGAGTGCATTTACTGGGTTGCGTGGTAGTTGCATGTTTAATTTTATAAGACCGCCAAGATTTTTTTTTTCCTAGAGTGGCTATACCTTCTTCCATTCCCACCATAAATGTATGAGTGATTGTTTCTCCACATCCTTGCTGGCATTTGGTGTTGTCATTATTATTATTATTATTGAAATGGAGTTTCTTGTCACCCAGGCTGGAGTGCAATGGCGTGATCTTGGCTCACTGCAACCTCTGCCTCCTGGGTTCAAGCAATTCTCCTGTCTCAGCCTCCCAAGTAGCGGGATTACAGGTGCCCACCACCACACCCAGCTAATTTTCATATTTTTAGTAGAGACAGGGTTTCACCATGTTGGCCAGGATGGTCTCAAATTTCTAACCTCAAACAATCCGCCTGCCTCGGCCTCCCAAAATGCTGGGATTATAAGAGTGAGCCACCACGCCCAGCCATTATTTTTTATTTAAGTCATTTTGAGAGGTATGTAGTAATATTTGTTTGGTTTTTATTTTCATTTCCTTAATGATTAATAAAGTTGAACATTTCTTTATGTACTTTTTTGCATCTGTATATCTTTTTCAGTGAAATATCTCAATTTTTTTGCTTATGTTCTAATTGGATTTTTTTTTACTGTTGAGTTTTGAGAGTTATTTATATACTCCAGATGTGAGTCTTTGTCACTTATGTGGTGTGTAAATATTTCTCCCCACTCTGTAGCTTAATTTATAATCATCTTAATATAATTTCACAGAACAAATTTTTAAAAATTTAATAAAGTGCAGTTTATCAATTTAATAAAGTTTATCAGTTTAAAAAAGTGTAATTTTTAATTTTATAAATCACACTTTGGATTTCAAGTTGAAGAATGCTTTAGGTAGATCTAGATCTCCAAAATTTTCTCTTTTCTTTTTCTAAAAGTTTTGTAGTTTTAGGTTTTAAGTTTAAATCTGTGATTAATTTTGAGCTAATTTTTTTTTAGGTGTGAGATTTAAGTCAAGCTTTGTATTGCATATACTGGTGCATTTTGTCCAACACCAGTGGATGAAGCAATAAAATTCCCTTTGCACTTTTTTCAAGAACATTTAGGCATATATGTGTGTGTGTGTTTACGAGTTTTCTATCCTTTTCTATTGATTTATGTGGCCATGCCTCTGCCAGTTTCATATAGTCTTGACTGCCATAGTTATACAATGTCTTGAAATTGGACAGGCTGATTACCTTCAATTTATTATTCTTTACACAATTATTTTAACTGTTGTAGTTCCTGATCTTTTCCATATAAATTTTAGAAGAAGTTTGTGTATATATAGAAAAATCATGCTGTAAGTTTGATAGGGAGTTCATCAAACCTACCTATCAATTTGAGGAAGAACTGACATCTGTACTGCGTGGTGTTCCAATACATGGACCCAGTATGTCTCTTTATTTATTTAGACATTTGGTGATTTTGTTTTCAAATCAGTGCTTTGTAGTTTTAAGCATGTAAGTCCTGGAGATGTCTTGTTAGATTTACATCTAAATATTTCACATTTTTAAGAAATTGTAAATGGTATCAAATTTGTAATTTCAATGACGACATGTCTATTGATGGTATATAAAAATACAATTGATTTTTGTATGCTTATTTTATATCCCATGACCTTAGTGAACTCACTTATTATTTCTATTTTTTTTGGTAGAATCCTTGAGATTTTCTATGTATGTAATAATGGCATCTGCTAACAGAAATAGTTTCATTTCTTCCTTTCTAACTTGTACCTCTTTTATTTCTTTTTATTTTACTATTGCACTCACTAGAAATTCAAGCATTAGGTTGACTAACAGTGGTGAAAGCAGGTATCCTTGACTTTTTCCCAGGCTTAGGGAGGAAACATTCAGTCTCTTACCATTAAATATAATGATAGGACAGCTTTTGTGTAGATCTTCTTTATGAAATTGAGGTGGTTCCCCTGTATCCCTATTTTTTTGAGAGATTTTATCATGAATGGGTGTTAAATTTTGTCAGATGCTTTTTTCTGCATTGATTGATGTGTTTTTTTTTTCTTCTTTAGCCTGTTAATATGGTGGATTAAATTAATTGATATTGGCATATTGAACCGCCTTGGCATTCTTAAAATAAACCCCACTTAGTCTTTATATATATTTCACTGAATTCTGCTTTGTTAAAGTTATTTACTTCTACATTTGTGAGAGTTATTGGTCTGTAGTTTTGTATTTATTTATTTATTTATTTATTTATTTATTTATTTATTTATATTGTCCTTGTCTGGTGGTGATATTAGAATAATGTTAGCTTCATAAAATCAATTGGAAAGTCTTCTCATCTCTCTATTTTTGGCAGAGTTTGTACAGAATTGGTGTTAATTTTTCCTTAAACATTTGGTTGAATTCTCCAATGAACCTATCTGATCTTGGAGATTTTTTGGGGGAGATTTTTAGTTACAAATTCAGTTTTCATAGTTGCTATAGGTTATCAAATTATCTATTTTATGTTGTATTAGCTTGATTTTTCAAGGAATTGGTTCATTTTTCTATGTTGTCGAAGTAAAATATGCAGAGGTTGTGTTGGGGTGCTTCATCGCAGAAGTCTAGGCTCCCCACTTAGTCTTTGCTGGCAAAGGTGGGAGTGTGCCGCAGATTTTTCTTTGGGGTTTTTTAGGGTAGAACAATTATTGTTGAAAAGGTTTCTGCCTGTCTGTGCTGTTCCTTCCTTTGTGCTTTAGGTAGAGAAAGTAGGTTTTCTTTTTTTTCTCATTGCCTGTTGGTGTTTCTGGGCTCCAAGTGTAGGCTATAGGAGACAAACGAAAACAAAACATACAGTGAGAACCACCATGTTGGTCTTTGGATCCTGAGGTCCCGAAGTCTGCATTTTTTTTTTTTTTTTTTTTTTTACAGTTGGAGTCTTGCTCTGTCACCCAGGCTGAAGCGCAATGGCAGGATCTCGGCTCACTACAACCTTCGCCTCCCAGGTTCAAGCAATTCTCCTGCCTCAGCCTCCCGAGTAGCTGGGATTACAGGCACTTGCTGCCATGCCCAGCTAATTTTTGTATTTTTAGTAGAGATGGGGTTTCAACATGTTGGCCAGGCTGGTCTCGAACTCCTGACCTCAAGTTATCTGCCCACCTCAGCCACCCAAAGTGCTAGGATTACAGGTGTGAGCCACTAGGATTACAGGTGCATCCAGCCAGTCTGCATTCTTTCCATCTTTCAGAGTCTTCTTATGTTGTGTTATATCTATATAATATCCAGGATTTTTAGCTGTAATAATGGGAGAATTGGGAAAAGTATATTTACTTTTTCTTCCCACCAGCACAAGTCCATGATACATTTTAAAATAAAAAAATAACATTAGGGAACCTTATCTATGTTGTGAGACTCTTTTTGTGTAATAAAAACAGAAAAAAATTAGCATATTATATATGGAACATACATCAGTTATACTGTATAAAATGTAAATTTATCCTATGCAAGTTAAACATATTAATATCCAATTATTACACAATTGTTCTTTCGAGGTAGAGGTGAGGTAAAGTTGTGACATACTTTGAGTTTCTGCTTTGATACTTCTATATTGTAATGTTTTTCTTATGAGCTGTCTTTCCTGCCTCCTTCCTTCTTTTCTTTTTATTCCCCAAGTTAATTAAATATTAATTGGAAAATTTTATACCAAATGAGACTTCTTTGCCTTTGCTACAAAATGTAAAGATTAACAATTGTAGCCATGTCATTCTGATTGTCTTCTTCCCCTGTAAGAAAAACATTTTTCAATTAGCCTTTCACAGTCCTTTACACAGACTTGCTCTCATAAATTGAAAAATTTCAATTTTGTCTAGTTTTCTGCACTCTTCAATCATAGCATCCAGTTTCTCATTTTCAACTATTTTCTTGGCAACCTGAAAGATCTTTTAAATTGTGTCTCAATAATCAGAGCAATTTTGGTGTTTTTCTTAGATATAAGGTTTAAATGTAGCATATAATTGTGTCTCTTTGGACAAAATATACATAGTCTGTTTAAAAGTTCTTTCGACTTGAAGATTAATGTAATTCTTACAACTTCTTCAGCATTACTGGGGCATGGGGCCATGACTGATAACCAGCCAGATCTGACCTCGACCACCAGCTGTGTTAGATCTCCACACAGTTTCCTTCTGGATATTAGTTATATGTTAATAAAGACCCTCAGTTCTTTTGCATCGAATGCAACTTGAGTTTGTTCATTGCTTTTACTAGTAATGTTTCTCTTAACTCTAGATATTTCATAGATCCTAGGAACTCACAAACTGTGGAACAACTTTTGCTTTCTGGTCTATTTCAATTTGTTTGTTTAGGCCATCGTTATTGTAGATATTACCAGGTATGTATTTGCAAAAGATGAAGAAAGAAGAAAACATGAAATTCATTCTTACATATACAAAAATTAAGGAGAAGAAAACCCTGCTTACCTGTTTTTAACGGGGGATTAGTAATCTTGTCACAATAAACATTTTTACATGCCCAGGTAAGACTATAACCATATTCTAAAGATGCTGTATAAGGAAATGCAAGCAAAGGTGATAGGGAATACATTGACACA
Source organism: Homo sapiens (assembly GCF_000001405.40). NCBI lineage: Eukaryota > Metazoa > Chordata > Mammalia > Primates > Hominidae > Homo > Homo sapiens. The sequence goes on along the minus strand of NC_000010.11, from coordinate 83,711,280 downwards.
TAACCAAGTCATAAGCTAAGCTATTACCTGCACTATTCCCTAGAGGCCTTTTTTTTCCCCATTACAGTGAGTTTGAGGAGATGGTGACAGAATAGAGGATGTTGTTATAGCACCTTCCAGGACTCTGTTTAATGATCTGGATGTAGCTTTGGTAAATGTCTAAACACATGTAAGTAGAATAATACCACAGATGATTCTGCCTGGAACCTACATACATTTTAGAATCAAACTAGTCTAGTTTTTACCTTCAATGGAGAGAGTGGTGGTGATATTTTCCTCAGAAAGAAGTTTACTAGTAGCTTGGGTAACTTGGAGTTGGCCTTGCCAGTGGCAAAATAGTATCACCAGGAAAAGTGCTCATCTTTCTCCTGTCAATATTTGGTTATCCCTCTGGACTTTTCTCAGTTCCACAGATACCTCAATGGGCTGCTGCCTCTACCTGCATAGTCTTCTTCTGGTACTGGAACCACTCTATATAAATTGTTGATGAATAAGTATCCTGCTTGTAGAAACTCAGGCACCAACTGGAAGACCCAGAGGCTGTGGGTCAACCCACCTGCATCTGTGACATCACAGCTCTATAAACAATGTTTGTATGTTTTTATTCAGAAAACAAAGATATTTCTAATTTAAAAAAATTTAAAAAAACTTAAAGAATGCTGTCTTTTAAAAAATATTTATTTATTGGCATGAGTTAAGAATCACCCAAATTTCTTTTACATGCCTATAAAAATGATATAATTTGTTTTCTTTAAGTTACTGATTTACTGTGTAATATTTATGAATTGTTAAATATTGCATTGGGGTTGGATTCCCAATTTGATTTATTACTTTCCTATTATATTGCTTAATTTAGAGTAGTTTATTTAGATTGTCATATCTACAGCTAACTACAATCAATTCACTTCTAATTTTGTAAAAACTTCAGCAGCTCTAAGGATTGAGTTAGCCATTGCCTTGTAATTATAACGGGTAACTATCTTTTTGATCCTTGACTTGGAATGAATAGTTGACACTGAAATTGCTAAAGAATAATGTGGAAAATCCCTCTCACACTGTTCACCTTCATTGCTGTGGATAATCTTTAACAACTTTATTTTCTCAGTTGCTCTGTTCAGGTTTTTTACCTCTTACTATGTTAATTTTGATGTTAGTTTTGCTGTTATTCTAGTACTTGTTGGTCTGTTTTACAGAATATGATCCCTTTCATTGCTATTTCTAAATTTATCACAAAACTGTGAGAGAAATCCATTATAATTTAATCATTTTATCCATTACGATGTATGATATACCCTTTGTAATGGTGATGTCTTATTTTGATTAAACTTAATTATATATTTTTTTATTTTGACTTCATAAAAACCATATTTTGGATTATTCATTACTTTTACTAATTTTTAGCCCTGTATTTTTTTCTGAATTTTGAAATTTATTTTGAAATAAATAATTTCCTTTTCTCAAATGTTCTTTGGATTGATATTCTCATTTTCTGAAATCATAGCTAATTTGTATTTCAGACAATAAGGTTTTAATGAGCATTCTCCATTGTGGAATTTCGTATATTTGTTTAAAAAGTGTTCACTTCACCTGGGAATCTGAATTTGATTAAGAGACGAGTGGATAGAAATAGTGTGGCTGAACCTGCCATGCTCCTTATAATGCAGGAGATTCCAGTGGACGACCCTGGCTGGCCATTGCTGCATGGTTACAATGTGACCAGACATGTGTGATGAGTGGTTACTAAATAGAACCCCAAGACAGTACAGCAAGAGGATACCAGAAGTTACATAGTCAGAAGCTACCAGAACTTCATCCTAGCCCAGGGAGATGGCTTAGCAAAAAAGTTGCAGGTGATAGGATCACTCACCCTGGCATTCTTGCATTCCGGCAGGACTTTGTCCTGGAAAGGCAGGACACCTGAATAGCCACTACCTGAGTACCTCTCCTGTGAGGAAACCAGGGTGACCCGGGAAACCATGGTTCTTTGCTTTCCGATCCTGGTGCATTTTGTTGTCCTTTGCTACAATGGATTTTTGAATTGATTACAGTAAAATTTAACTAGTGGTGGTACATTTATGCCACAGAGTGATCATGTGCACCACGTTTTAAGCCTAGTTCTCTCAAGACAATTTCAAATGGGTTATTCAGTGAAGAGTGTTAAAGTATAATTTTCAGATACGCCAAATCATGACTCTCAGGCAAATATAAAATGAGCACACGTCAAAGACTTTAAAATTTATTAACTAATGAGGGAAACAGCAAGATGTGGCTAGTTCTAAAAAAATTTAAAAACTAGGAGTGTTTATAGGCAATTTAACAAGTGTTAAAAATTGTTACTCTTAAATAAACTGTTTACTGTCCAGTAGACTATAAATTTTAGGGATAATCTATTCCTTTGGATGAAAATTATTTGCATCTCTTCTGGACAAAAATACATGTTTACAAATAACTTCATTGAATCTGTAATTTTTAACGACTATTAAACTATGAGATGAACTAATTATATTCTCCTGTAGAATCTTTGAATGATCTTCACTTCTATAAGATATTGAAAGGATATGACACCAGCATTTTTATTTTCAAATTTCAGATTTTTTTTGTCCCCCATATAATGGACAGCCCATGGTAGAGCCTCTGATGATTAAATCTTATCATTTCTGGCATTAGAAACTGATGGAAGTTAAAAGCATGTTTCCTTTAAAAGCCTGAAAAATCACTTAAATCCATTTGGTGAGAAACATTCTTTTCCAATTTTTACCAAGTCATGTGGAAAATTATTTAGGCAACTAAGCAAGAAAGGGCCTGAGGAGAAACAGATAAATCAATTTTTCCTGGAGGCAGGGGAAAGGAAAATTTTGATGCCACTGTGACCTAAAGATTTAGAGACATACTGAGATGAACCAGGCAACAAGGAGTAAGTGTATTAGCTTTACTAATCTTTAGAGCAGTTCTCAAACTTGAGCTTATAATGAAAGTCACATGGAGGCTTGTTAGAGCACAGCTTCTAGGGTCCACACCCCAGCAGTGGTTCTCAAAATGTGGCCCCCCAGCCCAGCAGAATCAGCCTCACCTGGGAACACTTTAGGAATGCAAATTCTTGGGCTCCACCATATATCAAGAATGCTGGGATTGAGGCTGGCCAATATGTTTTACAAGCCCTCAGGATAATTCTGATGCACATTCGAGTTTGAGAACTTTGCTCTTGGTGCGAGCCAGGAGTCACTGCAGACTGAGAACAATCAGGGATAATTAAGAAAATCCACGTGGTAATGCCAGGCAAGGTGCTAAGCACTTTCCAGGCTCTACATCAGTTAACTTCTAATAAAAAGCTGATTAGAAAGATATTATCATCATATTGATTCATGAATAAATTGGGTCTCAAAGAGGTTAAATCATGAGCACAAGGCTTAAGTGGTATAACCAGTATCAGGTCAGATGGGCCCCAAAAATCTATTTCTAATCACTGCTCTATAGTTCCATATAGACAATGGAACGTTTCTTTCAGATTTGCTCCAACACACATTACATTTAAATATAACATTTTTTTTTTGCATCTGGCTTAATGCCTCTCTTTCTAATACTATTCATGACATATTTCTTGAGGATTTCAGCAGCTACCCATAGGACTCTATAATGTATTAAACTTTTCGTTCTTTAACCTGCTCTCCTTAATATTCTGTCTTTTAGCCCTTATCAGCCACCAACTCATGTGCTCATGCTCTGAAATTTAGCATTACCAGGAATTGTACCCACTCCACAATCTCAGTTCCACGTACACTAAAATCTGATCACCATCTTCTACTTTTCCAGCTCACTCCTTCTAGTACAGCAGCTCCAGAAATTTTACCTCATAGGAGCCTACAGACTTATCCTGCTGACTTGTTACTGTCACGGGCAAGTCCTTTCTTTCCCAGCCAACAGCCCAGATTTCATCATATTCATCAATTTTTTACCATACACCTGAGCTCTCTTGTCTTCCTCTCTGTCCATCATCTTTATCTAGTTAAACTCAACCATGGTTAAATATAAGCCACAGTCCACTCTATACCTACATACATGCCACTGAAACTGGTGAGAAAAAAATGACCATGTTGACTGGTCTCACATTAAAGTCATGACCTCTAACCTCTGTGTTGCCAAACTGTCATGCTTCTTTTCCACAGTCCAGTGATTGCCAAACTTCTCTGCACATTAATGTCAACTGTGGAGCTTCAAAAATTGCTCATGCCTGTGTTTCACTCCTTGTGATTGTGATTTAATTGGTCTGGGATACAGCCTGGGCAAGAATTTTTAAAAGACTCCTATGACTTAGTCCATTTACACTTCAACTCTCCTAGATACTTTATCACATCTTTTCTTTCCTAAAACCTCCAACTCCTTTTTAATATCCTTCCTCTGAGCTTGCTTCATTTTCACTGAGAAAATAAACCAACAGAACAGAACTCCTGTGTGTTCCATCCACTGCGTCTGCAATCCTACACTTCTCTGTACCCACTGATTTTGCCTCTCAGGCTGGTATTATGGATGCACTGCCCATGTCCCTATTTAAGGCCACCACATCTCTTGAGCATTAGATCCCATCACCTCTTCCTCCTCCCTACTCAAAGGCATCACTTCAGCAGTGTGCCTTCTTTTTCCAAAATCATCTTTCTCATTTCTTTATAGCATTTACATCAGTAAATATGTTATAATATCTATAAATATACATATCTATTGGTTGTCTCTGCCTACTAGAAATTAAAGACAAAAGCTCTATTGTTCTAGTTTACTATGCTCCTTCAATGTTGAGAATTGAGCCTTGCAAATAGTGGACATTAAAAAAAATTTGTTGAATGAACAAATTTACATCACTATTTGTTGTGCTGGTTATTTGCTGTTTGGCCTAAAATCGATCTGTGCCCTTCTTTGCCTTGCTCTATGCCCAAAGAGGCTGGCTTCCAAAGACTGCTTTGTGTGGATTTGCTGGTCTGCTGGCCTCCTGTTAGGTTCAGCCAAAGTTAGGCAAGAAATCTGGGGGGCAGGAAGAGAGGTCAGGACATGCTCTCCCAGTTGCAATCTGCAGTAGCTATGTCTTTCCCTGATCCCTGCTCCCACCACAACACTCCTTCTTTTCCAGCTGTGCCACTCACTGGGCTCTGGTCAGGTGATATTTTCCCCTTCTGCTTCAGCTTTGGGGATGTCCATGGCTCCCACGTTGTCTTACCCCTAGGTGTGTCCACAACCTTTGTTGGCTTCTTTACTGCTGCTCTCACCTCTAGCACTAATCTCTTCATTAAAGTCCCTTTGCATGAACCATCTGGAGGGAATTAACTCTTTACTAAGACTTGGATGGATCAAGTTGATTTAATAATCAGCTATACTCTTATTTTAAAAAATATAATTACTAACCTGGATGAATCTTCAGGGGATTATTTTGGGTTTAAACTAAAAATAGAACTACTATATAACTCAGTAATCTAACTTTTGGGTATATATCCAAAGGAATTGAAATTAGGGTTTCCAAGAGACAGCTGCACTCTCACATTCACTGCAGTACTAGTCACAATAGACAAGATATGGAATTAACCTAAGTGTTCATCCGCAGATGAATGGATAAATGTCTGCAAAAGGCAGACATTCTTTTTCGTTTAATTAGCTTTAAAAATAGTTTTATTTACATATCATGGATATATATACCATATATCCATGTGGAATCCCTATCACATATATATTCCATTGTGTGCATATATCACACAGCTTTACAAAAGGAGAAAATTCTGCTATTTGTAACAACATGGATGAACCTAGAAGACATTAGGCTAAGTGAAATAAGCCAAACACAGAAGAACAATACTATGTGATCCCACTCGTATGAGGAACGTAAAATAGTCAAACTCAGAGCAGCAGAGTTAATAGTGGTTTCCAGGGATCCAGGGGAGGGGGCAATGGGGAAGCGATTAGTTAAAGGATAAAAACTTTCAATTATGTGACACAAATAAGACTTAGAGATCTACTGCATAGCATAATTTCTATAGTTAGCAATAGTGTGTTATATACTTAAAAATTTTCTAAGAGAATGTATTTTATATTAAGTATTATCACACATAAAAACAATAATAATAAATACAGTGGGAGGAAACTTTTAGAGGTGATGGATATGTTAATGACAAAGATTCTGGTGACGCTTTCATCATTGTATACTTACGTCCTAACTCATCAAGTTGTACATATATTATATATGCAGCTATGTGTATGTTAATAATACCTCAATAAAGTTGTGAAAAGCATGAATCTCCAAAGATTACATACTATATGATTTCATCTATATAATATTCCCAAAATGAAAAAATTAAGGGAATGGAGAACAGATTAGTGATTTCCAGGAGTTAGGAATTACACCATCATTACTCTCATTTTTTAAAAGGAGGAAAATAAGGCTCAGGGTGGCTAAATGACTTTCATAGTTTTGTCCAGTTGGTAAATGATAAAATCCGGATTTTCATTTGTGCCTCTTTTGCTCCAAAGCTCAATTACAGCATATTAAACTCGCTCCACAAACAGACCAGGCAAAGGACAGTCTTTCTTTTTTTTTTTTTTTTTTGGTTTAATTAGCTTTAAAAATAAAAATCATGTATCTATTTATACATGGAGATCTACTTATAATATACATGCGTTTCCACAGCTTCTTCATTTTGAGATTTTCCTCTTAAGGAAAGACTGGCACAGTTCTTGATGATACAGAGAAGCCCAGCTGTTTAAATATTTAGGTAACCATATTGTAAAATGTATGCCTAGCCAAGAAGCCTTTTTTGCATGGAGACATAATTAAACAGGCAGATGAGCCCATGAAATATGTAAGGCTCCTTACAAATTCTCAAAGGAATCCTTTATAAACCAATAAGAAGATGTTAAGAGAAACCCCATCCTCCATGTGAGACAGAAAGGTCTGGGAGGATTTGAATGCTCCCAGAAAGAGCCACTGCGGTCACATTAGCAGGAGTCTGAGTACACATGGAGAACCAGAAGCACAACCCTCAGAGAGTTGGCATCTCTTTAGTCCCACAAAGGAGTCTCCAGCCTCTATACTCCAGTGGCCTGTTCTCATTTAGATTGCAAATCACTTTGCATGGGTTCCAGGGAATGCATTGAATGAACTCATGTTCGAAAGTTAGTTTAAGATCTGACTGGTATGTCCTTTGTTTGGTCAAATGCTTCCAGTGCCACTGGCTCTCTCCTGCATGGTAGTGAGGTCACATTAAGATTAATTACACACTTGATTTTTTGCTAAAGGCTTTGCTATAGACTCTGGTTAGTTGCATTTAGTTGCAAAATAGATAATAAAATTGCTTTAATAAAAGCAAAGCCTAGAATGCAGTAATAACAACAACAAAAATGAATCAGAATAATACTTTTGACTGCTATTATTAGACTCTTAAAATGTGCCTGGTACCATGCTATCTTCCTTTATACAAGTTGCATCTATGATCTTCACAACCTCCCTGGCAAAGGAACCATTTTAATCCCAATTTTCCTATGAAGAAATTGAGGCTCAATGACAATATCAAATTTTATCTGAGCCTGTGCTCCTGGAAAACAGCAAAAACTAAGAAATCTTCCCACACTTTGTGTTTCAGCCTTATTGTGAAGGATCATCCTTCCTGATATGACTTAGGCCAGACTCAGATGCCCGACCTTGTTCACTTATGAAAATGCCAGACACAGGCTCTCCAAATTTCTATTCTTTGCCCCATAAATGACTAGCTAGCTAAACTGTACCAACTGACAAGTGTAGACTAAAATACCTGTTACTATGACTTGAACAAACTTTATTCAATCTTTATTTCTTTCCCAACATCCCTGAACTTTGATTTACCCTTAACCTGAGCCAGCATACAGCCCCTCTTCCTGGCCCCTCCTGAGACTGTGCTACTCTGGGTAAAACCTCTCCGATTACCTGTCAGATCATGACAGCTGCCACCTCTATCCATTCATCCTGTTTCTTTCTATCTTTGTTTATTCCTCCGTATGCAGGAAAAGCCCTTTTCTGCCTAACCTTTCAGGCACTTGCAGATCTCACGGTGGGAGCCTTCTCCCTACTGCAGTAGTTGCTGTCCCGCAGTTGCAATAATATGTCTCCCCCTAATTCAATAATCCTTTGGAATAAAATCCTTCCTTATTTACGACCTGATTTGTTTTATTTTCTGTAAGTGATAGAACAGTGATTTAACCATATGCTTGCCTGAATCAAGATATCATACACAGCACTGCATAGGAATTAAAACTCTAGAAAGCGTATGCAGACTTCTCTCATCCCCAGAACTAGTTTTTCCATGGCACTCTGTCAATACATACATCACATCTTAGTTGCTTTCTATCCCCCCAACTGCACTGTGAGCTCCTCAATGGCAGGGTTTGCTTTTGAATCTATATCAAGAATCTGTCAAAACAAGTGTTTTCTGAAAGAATATGTAGTAAATATCATTTAGAATTAAATGACTGCTATCGTAGAGAAGGGGAAAAAAACCCACTTTTTTTCTACTTTTCTAAGTTTTCCAGCTATGAATTTGCAAATCAGACTGACAAAAGACAGATTAACAGGAAAATCAGAACATTAACACATGCAGCACACCTACACAGGAGAAACTCAGTGATGAGTCCCTCAGAAGGGTGGCCAGAACCTGGACTGATGTATTAATAGCATCTTAACTAAAAACAATGCATTTGCAGAGAAATGATAAGAACAAAAGAAAAGATTTTGGGATTCCAACGGTGGCAAACTCTGGGAAGGTACATATATGGGGGGACAAATGGAGTAAGACTTGTTTGCAAAGGTCCATCTCAAGGCTGACTTTCATCTTCTTCATGGTCATAAAACTTCCCCAGGAGAGAGGATTGGTGGCTGCCTTCATATTTCAAAAGTTTATGCTTTCAGTCAGATAAGAGAAGCCATGGGAAGACTTTTTACTGCATTTATTGAATCTTAAATATTTTCAGCTCAAAATAATCCTTATGCCAAAGTGGCAGGTTTGGGGGTGGCATATTTTAATCTCTAATGCTATGCTGAGAATGTCTTTTTTTGATCCTCAGATTCTTATTCCTATAATAAGCCCCAGATTCCAGGTGGTCAGTCCTCATTGTTCTCATAGTGCTGTGTAAGTTAGCCCTCAAAAGTGCCCTCTGGATACTGGCAAATTTGACCACATCTTCTAGATAAAAAGGGGTGCGGAAGTGTGCCAACATGCTGCTGTTCCTGCCAGCAAATCTAAGAGACTGTTGACACTGTTGCACTGGGCTGTCCAAAGAAATGTTTGTGATCATGCACCTGCCACCGGAGTTGGGAAATGCTGTGACCCACGTGCCATGCTCAAAGAACCAGGTTTGGTGATTCTTTTTCTTACAGTCAGAATACAGATCCCTGTGCTTACTTCTAGCTGGAGAATTCCTCAACTGACTGATTCATCCCCAAATTGGCTCCAATGCCCAATGCTATGGTACTTTACTGCCACTACAGTACTTTAGTGCCACTGACCAGAAGAGGCTTGGGATGGGCAAGGAGACCGCAGAGTGTTGGAGTATCATGGCTGAAGACAATGGCAATATCTGTAGTCATCAGAAGTGCACGTAGCATGACATTCAACAGCCTGGAAAAACACAGATTGACCTGAATATACACTAGTACAGAAAGCCTGGTCATCAGGCAGAACAAGAGGCTGAGAGGCCAGTGAGGACCTTGAGGGCAGCTGGGGACAAGTCAGTGAAGTGGCGTCATTGTCTGGGGTAAATACTGGAGGATTGTTGTCTCACACCAAGGGAATCAACGACGTGGACGCACAAGTAGTGACTTTGAAAGTGGAGGCATAATAGGCGAAAGAAAGAGAACAAAGAATAGCTCTCTCTCCTACAGAGAGAGAGGAGCTCCCAAGTGGGTCTTCCAGTTTCATGGTGGAATGCATGGGGTTTTACAGACAAGCTTGAAGAAGTAATGTCTGATTTATATAGGGCCTGAGAAATTGGTTGGACCAGTTGTGACATTTGCATAGCATGTGAAGAAGCTGGCCATCCCACCATAATCTTTTACTATGCAAATGGGATCTCTACCTTTCCTGGGCCATGTTGTCTTCCTTACTGTACACGTGGTTGACAAAGAAAAGGGAAGATGGAGCCATCAGGTTGAACATGCTGGCCCCCAGGTAGCCTTCTATGGGCACAGCTGCCAGTTTTCATCCGTACAAGCTTCCAACTATGTCTGCAGCTTGATTTTTAAGGCTGCTTTTAAACTCCATCTTTACTAAAAATACAAAAATTAGCTGGGCATGGTGGCATGTGCCTGTAATCCCAGCTACTCAGGGGGCTGAGGCAGGAGAATTGCTTGAACCCGGGAGGTGGAGGTTGCAGTGAGCTGAGATCACGCCACTGCACTCCAGCCTGGGCAACAAGAGTGAAACTCTGTCTCAAGAAAAAGAAATAATAATAATAACAAAATAATTTGGGGGCTACTTTTCACTAAAAGTAAAACCTTACCGAGGACTTTCTTACACTCATTATCTGCCTAAATAATTTCTTTTTAACTCCATTAACATCACCTTTTGGGTTTCTTTGTTCCTTGGGGACATGTAAACCTTCTTCTACCTCTAAACACCTTATTAGGTAGGGCTGGGGGAGGGGGAATACATTTAAGAGAGAAGAAAAAGACCTAATAAAAACTTACATAATTTGAATGTCATCCAAAAGATGAGCAGGATAGGTAAATAGCAGAAAAGAGCTTTATTGGTGATATTAGTTTGCAGGCTGGGAAGGGACAGTTTCCATTGTATATCAAAGGTACTCTGTCTTCAAAGAAGGGAAGGAGTTTGGGTTTTATGGCTCACAAGTTGGTATTAAATATATTTAGTTGGTTTGGGGGAAAAGCTGTACATATTTATGAGGGGAGTCGAACACAGGCACAGTGAGTAAACATGCATGTAACATATATCCTATGTTTACTTTGGAGCAGGGTTTTGCTTAAAATAGGGTGGAATTCTTTATGACACAAAGATCATTTGTGCACAGCCTCTATACGCTGCTGAAACTGGTTTAAAGTCTGCAATTGCTTATCAGAAAAGAATGTTTCTAAGGCTGGTCCTCTGTCCAGTTAGAATTGTAGTGACCTGGGTTGTAAGTCAGAGTTAGGACGGGTCTGATAATTCCTATTGTTAGGGAATTTAAAACCCTAAGAATGTAGAAATTTGCCTTGCCAGCTGGGCCCTGAACCCTCGACCTATAGGAACCTTGTTTTCTCAACCTTAGGGTCCATCTTAGTTGACAAAGGGTTATCTGTTTTGGTCTTTCAGATCATGTGATTTTGAGTTTATCAAAAAGAGAATGTTCAAAACTTAAAGGAACCAAGACAATTTTAGTCACATTTTAAACTCCACCTTCAATCAGCTAGAATGAGATCTTCAGCACAAGAAAATAAAGAAGCTCATACATGTAAAGAAGCTGTATACATCTGAATATCAGTCCAGAAATTCTGATATCATCACACCACAAATGAGTGAGTTCTCTGCAGGAGGATGTGTGCTAAAGAAATGTGCAGAGGTCAATAGTCAGCTAAAAAAGGAGAATGAGGAGATAATTCCAGGCAGATGGAAGAGTGACAGCAAGGCCCCTGAGAAAGGAGGGTGCAGGACATATCTATGGAGTAGAAAAAAGACCAGTGTGGCCCAGAGCACTGATGAGTATGTGCCTGTGGGTGTGTAGGGTGGAGGCAGGGAGGAGAAAGAGGCAGGGAGATGCAAAAATGCGTCTCAGAGAGCAGTTGTGGGTAAGCTTACATTTATAATTGTTTGTGATCAGACATTTTATGTTTTCTCATTACATTTTATTTAAAAAATGTATTTATACATTTAAATAGAGACAATTTCTAGTTTTCCGGATTTGTGAATTTTCAGCTGATTTGATATTTCAGCTGGCTTTTCCTGGAAATGTCCATAGCTTTTTGATTTTAACATTCATGCTGAACAAAGAAAATCAGGGTATGTCTTCAGGGTCTCTCTAAAGTTTGAACTAGGGAAGTGAACTACAGTTGCTGCATCCACTGCCCCTTAAGTGACTCCAAACATGTGTCCAGAAAGAATTGAAATGAGTCTTGCTGAGGCACACAGAGGACGTAAGTGTGTCTGAGAGGTTGCTTTCCCTTTCTCCCCACATCCACCAGCGAGTGGGATAAAGTGCTGCCAAACAACTTGAAAAATATTTGTTTTTCACTCACTGTCCCTTGGTGACCCTTGCAAATGCCAGGATGCTGGCAATTTTCTAATCTCCCACCATCTCTTGAATCACCAGTAATTGCTTCTGATGTGTTTCTTTCTGTCCTACAAGTACTTTCTGAACCAGCTTCCTGCATTTCAGGTGTTGGTGCCACAAGCTTCCCAAGGAGCTTCTCCAAGATTGACCAAGTCATGTTGATGAAAAGTTGGTCAAGGGTTCACCCACTCACTCTGTCTTCCCTACCTCTGCACATGGGCACACAAACACACTCTTATGTACGTGTGCTCACATGTATGCACTCAGACACACATGTACTTTTACACATGCACACATTACACATGCATGCGTGCATGCATGCATCCATATAACATACACACGCATACACACATGCTTGCATACGTATACACATATACATGAACACACTGGTAGAATGACTGCCTTGAAGAGAGCCGTAAAGGTCAGAAACCCTTGTTCCTATGACCGGACACACCGTAGGGGTCCTTTTAGCGAGGTTGCTTCAGGGAAGTCAGTGCTTCTTACCAAAGTTTGGCAATAGATTATGCCCAAACACAAGTAGCGGGGGAGAAATCCATGGAGACCAGCATAGAAAAGAGAGAGCTGAGGGATGGGAAGTAAAGGGCCAGCCTCCTGCCTACAGTGAGCTTGTCATGAATTAATGCTAAAAAGTCCAGCCATAGAAAGAAAGAAATGGTAATTTAAAGGGCCAGTCTGAAGGTGTTACAGAGAAAAACAGGCAGCAAGGAGTTAGCAAGGAATAGGCAGCTATGTAGACCTGAGGAAGCAGAGGAGCTGAGGTCTTAGGAAGGACCTAGGTAAGGTGTAAAGGACCTAGGCACTCCCCAGGCCTGTCTTAGGGGAACCGAGCATTCCTCAGGGTGATCTTAAGGTGGAGTTGACAGCTACTCTGGAAAAGAAGGGACATTAGCAGATATTGTAAAGTTGAACAGAGGGCTCACAGGATCTTAGTTGGTCTGAATCAAGTTTGACATTCTCCTTTTTTTGCTTTTCTCTACAGGGATTCTTTTAGCAAAAAGCATTCCATTCACAATACATATCCATTTACTACTCAGCCTTCTGTGGTCAATGGAGCCTCTACAGCTTATGAAATTGCAAAGACTGAGAAAACCCCCAAACTTAATGGTCTGCACAATAATTCCAGAATAAATGCCTACAAGAACTGAGAGTGTACACTAGCATTTCAGCCCAGAAGGAGGGATTTTAACCAGTCAGAGCACAACGACACAATTTTCCATTCATTTTTCAAGTTACCAGCCAGTCCCATTTCAGAGCAAGAAGTACAGTAATAAATAGCAAACCTAAACAGGTTTATCTGGAGATCTTAATAAATAAAAGTTGCCTGCTTCAAAATATATTAGTGCAGGGTTGGAGTTAGTTATGAGAGATTGTTTTTTTCATGAATTATAAGATGTGCATTAGAATCTTGAAACTGCTGAAAACAGCAAAGAATAACCGTGGCTTAGTGCTCAAATTCATCTGGATTCAAATCCCGGCTCTATCCTTTGTGAGATGTGTGACTTTGAAAAAATCATTTAATCTATTTATTCCTCAGTGTATTGATTTGTAAAGTGCATACAGTAATGATACTTATATCTCAGAATGGCTTTACAAGGGAAAGTCTATGTCCCTGGGTGAAGAGCAAGTCCTGCCTGTAGAGAGAGCTCATTCAAGGAATCTGGGTCCTGGCGAAAAGGCATGTCCTTACAACCAGAAGTGGGATTTGAAGGGGAGGCTCTAGGGTGAATTGGACATCAGGATTGGAATGTTCTTTTGGCTATGAGGGAAGTCAGAATGCTAGGAAAACAACCTCATGTGTTAGCTGGGTGTCCGCACATGCAAGTTAGGCTGGAAGCTGGAGGGAAAGAACACAGGAAGTACAGGTGATTCTGGGGGTCAATATTTACATTTTAAGAGACAGAATAAATTAACCACGACTGTGAGCCTCGGGTAGAAGCAAGATGAGACAATACCGAGGGGCTTTGTGTGATGAACCAGAGGGTTGGAGCACCTTGTCCCTTCTCCTTTATTGATCACCTCCAGAATTCAAGAAAGCCTTGTGAAAACAACAGGTCATCTCATCTATGCTAACGAGTTCCCAAGTCCCTGAGTCAGAGCTCTGGAGACAAAGCAGCGTATTCAGGAAGCAAAGGGTGGTGGGGAGCCTTACTTTGTAGGAAGAGACCCTTCCTCACAAGCAGAAGGTAAGAACCATAAAGATGGACAAAGATCATCCCTCACTTCTTCCCCAGAGATTCTCTTTCTAGGCTTCGACATGGACGTTCTGAAGTTTATTCACCGGAAAACATTTACACAGAGCAGAAAATCAGGAAGTTTCTAATGAGGGCCTTCATCTGCAAATCACACTGCATGCCTCCATTGAATCAACTCTGTTATTGTCCTTCAATTCTAGGATGCTCTTTAGAAAACCAAAACAAAATTAAAACCAAAACCAACCTTCCACCCACAACAAAACCTTTCTTCCAAAATGGGAGTTGGGGCGGCCTCTTTTCTGTTGCTCTAGATCATGCAAATACTTCTAATGGTAGACTGATTAGGCAGTCCTCAAACAACTCTTGATAAGGGTGATTTAAACAACTCAATCAAGTAACTTGTTCCGAACTGGCATTTTTCACAATTAATCCGAACTGAATTTGCCAGGCCAACAAATAATGATTCCCAGCTCCAATTGAAAGATGTCATATTACCTCCAGTCTATTCCTCAGAAATGTTAAACTGTTTCATTATTCTCATTTTTTTTTCACTTTCTTCTTTCTTGATTCTCAGATAATTGTTGAATCAGAGGAGTCTTAATTTCAGGAGATCCCAAGTCTCCCCAAACCACCTGCCCATGAAAAATAAAATCTAGGGATTTCCAGTTGTTTTATTAGGGGGTTAAAACACCATGGGCAAGTATTGGGAAAAACCAGTAACTACCAGAACTATCTAATGATCAACGTGAGTTGTAAAAGACATGTATTTAGGCACCCAATGCTTTGAGAAACCTTAGTAAGTATTCTAAGGAATCTGGGCTGAGATAAACTAGCTGAGGAGTGATGCTCTTCAGAAAACCAAACCAAAATTAAGAAATGGGGGAAAGGCTGAGGTGAGGGAAGAGAGAAGAAATTGAGAACAAACCATAGAACATTCTGCCCTAGGAGAGAATTTAGGCTGAAGGATGCATGACAGAAGCAAAGCCACTCGGGTATATTTATCATCCCACAGCTAAGGACTGGGCAGGGGCAGCCTTTGGGGTAGCAAGAATATAGCCGTGGCCTATGAAGTGGTCACTCTCCCCTGTCCAAGAAATTCTCCAAAAGGGACAGTTTACAAAGCTTTTGGCAGATGCTAAATCATCTGTGATGGGATGATGCTGGGAACTGTGGTCAAAAGATTCTGAGATTTGGAGCCCAAACCAGTGTTAGCTCTGCCCCTTCTCCTTGGATTCATTCATGGCTATGAATGCAGTCAAAATAGAGATTCCTCCTCTCGCATAGAAAAGAGGCTCAGAAAGCCATGAGGCCTGGACAGGGACACAGAGTGGCACAGAGGAAGGGCACCATGGGCTCTGACGCAGGCCAGTGCTCCCTCTGCAGTAGATGCACTGATGTGATGATGCTTCACTCCTCCTGCTGTCTGGGAAAGCCCTGGTGCCTGAGTACCTTTCCTGCACACAGAGCTAGCACTGCAGATGTTCTTATGCACCCATGCCTGGCCCATGCATTCCTTGTTGGGGCTTGGACACATTTGCTTTCCATGATCTCAGCCGACCATGAACTGAGCTGTTCTATTTGTTGTTCCTGCCTACTGACCATGTTTGTCCACATGCTGTCCCTTATGCCAGGTCTCCTTTCTACTCCTCAGGTTACACTTGGTTGTGTGGTTCTCTGACAGCCTTTGCCTAGACCTCAGGGTTGAAAACTTGGCAGGTGCCTCATAGTCTGAAGAATGATTAAAAAAACAGTTCACATTGTGCTCTCAAACTCTGAGCACTGGAATCAGACTGCCTGTGTTAGGTCCTAGTTCTGACACGTGAGACTCTGCAACTTAACTTTCCTGAATTGCAGTTTGCTCATCAATAAGATAAGATGATAATAATGATGCCTTTCCTTATAGTTGTACTAATTATAAATACAGCACCATGCTTGGCACACATTAAGTGAAAAAATGCTCACTGACTTATATTAAGGTTACTATTATTTATGACAGGTTCCACCTCTTTTCCTGCTTAAACTAAACTACAGAAATTAAGATCTCAAAACACTTGCAGATGCCATGTGGCCCAGGATCCATCTATAATCTTCTGGCCAACCATGTGTTTCCCGAAAAAGATTTTCTGAGGAACATACATGTCTACATCTATTTGCATTTCCCCGGAAAAGAGCCTGAAGGGATTTACTCCACTCCTAACTATTTTGCTGAGGTCAATGTAAATTTAGCTGCATCGATTCCCCCGTGAATGTGTAATTGCTGCCTGGCAGATCGACCTCCATCACATCAGCATGGTTTGGAAGGCAAGTCTGCACATCATGTGCCCACTTCCTCCACTGCTGTCTGCAATGCCCACAAAAGTGTCTTCTGCTTCCTTCTGCCAAGGGAAGGTGGCCCAGAATGCTTGCTCTTTTGAGAATAAGAATTACTGGAAGATCTTCACAGGCAATACTAGAAAAATGACTTGGTGCTGCTTTCTCTCCCCATCTGTAGCGTAAGATGTAGTCAAGTGAAAACGTTAACAAATTGCAAGAAGATAAAAGTCAATAAGCCAAATTACAATTTTCAACATCTTGAAGGACAGTTATGAAACAAAACTAAATAACTGCCTTTGTCTCCTTTGGTCTCAGAGGGAAACTGCAAAACAGAGATGATAAGCTAGTCTTAAAGTTTTCATGTAAGAAAAAGAGATCTTTGAGATGGGGAAAAAAACTCTACTTGAACCTAAGCTATAGATTTAAAGGAGCAGATATTTTGAATCAGCATAGGTAATGCTCATGCTGAGAATACCTACCTACTTGTTTTTCAGTGTGATAATATTTCTATTTATTAGCTCTCTTTTATAACAAATAAAAATATCTCACACTACCTCAATCAGCATAAATGAGATAATTTGTTCAATAATGAAAGAGGGGTGTCTCTTGAAACCCAAGGGCAGGAATGTAGTACTAGAATTGAGGCTTGCAGTTTTTCTGTATATATATTTCTTATTTATCTCCTCTGCAGACCAAGTTTCTTCACTTCCAAGTCTGCATCATTAAAAAAAAAGAAGAGTGGCCCACACTTTCTGCATTTTAAATATCAGTATTATCTAAACACAGAGGCATGACATCTCACTTAGCCTTAAATTTCAATACTCACAGATAAGCTTCCGATTGGCCCATCTTGGTTATGAGGACTCGAAACTAAAAATAAAATCCTAAGCCCTCATCGACTGAATGGATGCCCTGTGGCCAAGGGGACCCTAGAAAAACCTGAAAACTGAGTTCCTAGCTATGACAGGATGGGAGGTCAGGCACAGCTCATTATACCTCCTCCTTTTATGGTTTAGACACAAAAACTGACCAGCGTTAATGTTAAACCAGAGATCATAAGACTGACAAAACGGACTCATTGTAGCATTAAGATACCAAAATTAGAGACAAGACCTAAGGCCATGGCAGGCGAGGGTTAAGTCACTCACTCCTACACTTAAAGGATAAACTATGTTCTAACTGCCACACATTTTTTTCTTTTTTTTCTTTTTTTCCCCCTAGCAGCTAAATAAGTATTGTCCTTGAGATAGGCAATATTAAAACAATTACAACTCATCCAGCTCATAGACACCAGCTAACTGATGCCCTGGCCCACCAGCCATAACTGCAGCTTTGATTGGAGAAGAGACTGATTTTAGTAACTTTCTCCAGGTTAGAAGACTACTGACCATGGCTGGTTGTGGCTAGTTTACAGAGGTTGTACATTGCATGCCTTCTTGTCCTGAAAATGCCTTTGGATGTAGAGGGCCTAATTGTAACACATTTAAATATTAAGTCTCCCCCCTAAAATGGACATGGGTTGTATGTTATATGCATGTTTTTTCAATACACATGTGTCAGGACTACTTTCATGAATTCATAGTTCCTCTCGTTACCTGTTGAATATGTACGTTTAGTCAACCCATTCAGCCTAAAGCTGTAAGCCCTCATCTTTTGAACCCAACACCTTCTCTTTTGAAGTGCTTGTCTCTGTTCTTGGCTGGAGGCTGTGCTTCCCAGCCTGGGAGATGGCCAACTTGCAGGTTGTAACCTCTTATATGAAATAAAGTCTCCTCTCCTTTTCTACCTTTATACTTCTCTCTTTTTTCAAATTGACAAGCCCAGTTAACAGCAGACAGGGGCAGGACTGGGACATGGTTACATTGCACAAAATGCCTGCCAGTAATTCATTATTGAACTAGAAATGGAGGAAAGGAGGATACAGCTAAAGTGGTAACACTCTGCACTGGGAAGATGCTATGATACTATCCATGATAATTCCACTACAGAGCCAAGACATTCAAGGAGGGGCATTTTTCATACAATCTTGTGGTTAAATCAAGCAATGTATGAGTCAAAGTTGATGAGGTCAAGAAGAGCATTTATTAGTACTTGCAACACTTTAGGTTGACCTGTGGTTCATTTCATTCTAGCATGAGAAAAATGAGTCTCAGAAAGGAATCTCCAGTTTCTGATATTTAGGTCTCCAGGCCACCTGGAGAAGTGACTCAGATCCCTGAAGGCATCTACATAGAAAAAGACAACCTGGTCAGGTCAACATCTCCATAGGTATTCTTTCTATAGGTCTTGCAGTCTTCCTGTGGAAATCTCTCCTCCTCACCTAGATTTGCTGCTTTCCAAGTGGTCACACTTAACCCTTTGGGAATTAAGAGCTATTACTATGGGAGGCTGCACCTCTCTACTTTCCTGCCCTAGGAAACTGAGATGGACACAGCACAAGCAATCTCATGATCAAAGTAAATACCAGTGGCAGAGTCACTCTGCGGCTAGCCTTACTCCCTTTCCTCAGGGCTTATCTTAGGCTTCCTTTAATTATCAAAGAGCTAATAGATCTCCCAAGTAAAAGGTGCCCCTGGGCCAGTGAAGCCCTCCTCAAGTCTGACTACCCAAGCTGTCACTGCAGAAGGGGGAGGGTAACGTCTAGAGTTCCTTCACCCCCATAGTTCCACTCTGTAATTCTATAAAATATTTCCCTACAGAAAGAGGCCAAGAGCTGACTGGTGGAGAGTAGTCACAGAGAGTAGGACATTGTAGTTTTCCATGTGAGCTTGGCACTCAACAGGGTAAAACCAAGAGGAAAGGGAAGAGTGGGGAGAAGGGTGGGTTTAAGTTGGTCCCCAAATCCCCAAATCTCCCGTCATTTATCAGAACATCACTTGAAGAAAGAATTTAGAAATACATAAAAATTACTGAAAAAATTTTATCAAGTCACATGTAAGTTGGCCTAAGTATTTTTCCTTTATAAACTTTTAAATTATACATACAGAAAAATACACAAAACATGAATGTATAGCTAAATTAATTTTCATAAATAAAATCATGGATGCCTCTCTCAGTAGCTTCCCGTCCAAAGGTCATTACTATTCTAACACTATTAGGTAGTTTTGCCTGTTAACTGAAATTTGTACAGTATGTACTCTCTTAGGTCTGTTTTATTTTACTCAGAATTATCCAGGGCCAATTTGTGTTATTTGTATGTTTGCTATATAAATTTAATTGATTTGCAATTCTGTATAGGATCACAGTATGAATATCACACAATATATTTATTCATTCAAAAATTGATGGACATTTGTGTTGTTACCATTACAAGATTATTACAAATAATGCTGCTAAAATGTACATAGATTTATATTGAGAATATACTAAAGAGTAGACTTGCTGTGACAGGAATATATATGTGAAATGAACTTTAAGATACTTCCAATGTACCCAAGTGGTTGCACGGACATAACATATACTTCTAACAGAAAACTATGAAACTTTCCATTGTTCCACACCTCCCCAACAAATATTATTGTGATTTTTAAAAACCTGACAATTATATTTTATATTGGTTTTTATTTGCATGTCTGATAATTGATGAGATAAGCACCTTTTCAAATGTTTATTGGACTTTTGGATATGTTAATTGTGATATGCCAGTTCAGGCATTTTACCATTTTCTATTCGGTTCTTCCTGTTTGGGGGAGCCCTTCTTACATAAAATATTTTGTTAGCTATGTATACAGCAAGTATCTTTCATACTGTAACTTGGCTTAATAGTGTCTCTTGATGAACATGTGTTAATTTAACATAGTTCAAATTATTAATCACCTATTCCTATTTATTAACTTTTTGTGTTCTTTTTAATATATCTTTTTTTTTTTTTTTTTTGAGACAGAGTCTCAAGTGCAGTGGCATGACCTTGGTTCATTGTGGCCTCCATCTCTCGGGTTCAAGTGAACCTGGTGCCTCAGCCTCCCACATAGCTGGGATTATAGTCACGTGCCACCACTGGCTAATTTTTGCAAAGACATCTTTCCTACCATAAGTTTATGGAAATATCTTCCTATGTTATTGTGTAAAAGCTTTACTACTTGCCTTTCACATTTTCATTTATAACTCACCTGTACTGAATTTTTGCATATTATGTGAATTAAGGATAAAGATTAATTTTTACATGGCTATCTAAATGCCTCACGTTGATTTAAAAAAAACCTTTCTCCATTGCTCTGAAGTCTCCTTTATCATAAAGCAAGTAATCATCTATATGTGGATCTATTTCTGAGCTTTCCATTCTGTTTCAATTTTTTCTGCTTGGTACATATACAACACTAGCTTTAGCATTATAAAAATCTTGGTATTCAGTAGAACCTTTTGTCCAATTTTGTTCTTCATTGTTAATTTTAAGATGTATGAAAATTTCAATTGTCCATTTGTTATCACTCTCTAGCTAAATTCCACTGTTCTCAGGGAATATATAAATGATTTTAATTCTTTTGAATTTCTTCATGATATAGTATTAATAAATATCAGTGAATACTCATAATTGAAAAAGATGCTTACTCTGGTACTGTTTTTATGCAATATTGTATACATATCAATTAAGTCAAGTTTGAAAAGATATTCCATCTAGATCCTTTTTGATACTTTGTCTTCTTGCTATATCAGTTTCTGAGGGAGATGTGTTATTGTATCCCACAATAATTGGATGTTGTTTATTGCTCCGTTATAGTTTTTGCTTTGTATAATCTTGAGGATGTACTATTAGGCATACACATTTAGAAATGGGAAATTGTCTTTGTAGGTTTTATCCTTTAGTCATTTTGAAACATTCCCCTTTAACTCTTGTAATGCTTCCTATTTTAATAACTACTTTTAAATAACATTAGTGTAGTTATGCCTGATTTTTTTAGTTAGTTTGCATTGTACACCTTTTCTATTCAATTACTCTCAGTAATTTTTGTTCTAACAATTAAGATTTATCCCTTTTAAGATAATATAGTTTTAATGGTCTAATATTTTTTCTTTTAATTAAAATGGTTAGTTCACTTCAATTTAGATTAATTCACGATATGTTACAGTTTAAATATCTCATTATATGTTCTTTCAGTTTGTCACAACTGATGTACTTGTTGTTAGCATTCTTTTCTAGTATTTTTTTAGTAATCAAGTTTTTTAAAAATTGCACATTCTCTTCCTTTAGACATTATTTTGTTAAACATGCTTTTACTATTTTGTTTGTGGTTAGCTGAGAGAGCACAAAGTCTTTAAAAAAATTTACTTGAGCCTAATTAAAAGTATTACTTTTACCACTTTCCAGACAATGGGAACATTAGAACATTTTTTTATATTTATATGCCACCATATTCTTTGCTATTTTTGTCATATATTTTAGTTTTACATATTTTTTAAAACCTTTCAGATATTATTATGGTTTTATAATATTAAAATGTTAGTATTCATTGACAGTTACTAACATGCAAACCCATTAAATTGTTCGTCATTTCTTTCTGTATTTATATGTGTTATTCTGGGATTATTTTCCTTCTTTGATAACTCTATTATCTTTTTTTAAATGATGGTTTTCTAGAAATTTTCTTTCTCTCCCTCTGGGGGTGTGTGTGTGTGTGTGTATGTGTATGTATGGCAAATATTTCCATCTCATCTTCTTTTTTTTTTTTTTTTTTTTGAGATGGAGTTTTGTTTTTGTCGCCCAGGCTGGAGTGCAATTGTGCGATCTCTGCTCACTGCAACCTCCGCCTCCCGGGTTCAAGTGACTCTCCTGCCTCAGCTTCCCGGGTAGCTGGCATTACAGGAACGTGCCATCAAGTCCAGCTAATTTTTGTATTTTTAGTAGAGACGGGGTTTCACCATGTTGGCCAGGCTGGTCTCAAACTCCTGACCTCAGGTGATCCACCCGCCTTGTCCTCCCAAAGTTCAGGGATTAAAGGCGTGAGCCACCATGCCTGGCTTCTCATCTTCTCTTTTAAAGGATGAGTCCACTGTGAATCAAATTCTAGTTTGACAATTATATTTATTCAGTTCTTTATAGATACCTTTTCAATATCTTCTGCCTTCCATCACTTCTTTTGAGAAGTCAGTCATCTGTTTTATTTTTGGCCTTTTGAATTTAATGTGCCTTTTGAATGGACTGATTTTAAATGTTTCCCATTCTCAAAATGTTTTGGATTCACTTTTGGGTGTGTTTTTGGTCCATACTTTCTAGCCTCCAACTTTCTAGACTTCAACTACAGGACAAGCCAATTAAATAATTCTATATACTGCAGATGACCCCCTAGAAGCAATTTCAAGTGATGACTTGTTGTCACATGATAACTTAATTCTGACCAAATGCATAGTTAACTTCTGCTCATTCTTCTGTAATAGGCTCATAGCTTTTCTCTGACACCCTTGCGAAAAATAGAAGTGAAGAATCGTGTGCTTAAACAAATGAATCTGGGTTCCAATTCTGGCCAGTGTGTAACACAAATGTTTTAACTGATTCCTTGTGGAAACACAAAGGAAGGGTCTTGTCTGAATCATGATTCAGAGGAATGAATGCCATTTAAGAAATGATACATAGCAAGATTTTTAAATGTCAGGTGCTGTTATTTTGTGTTTTACTTTTATTATTTATTTTATTTTTAAAAGATTTTTGTGAAGTTGCTTACATTACAGATGACAAAACTGAAATTCAAAATCATAAAGTCACTTATAATTGTATAAGGATAACTAAACATCAAGTGATGAAATTAGGATGTCCACAGTGGTCTTATTTGAATCACCATGGTTTTTATTTCCTTTTGTAAAGTGTACAGAACCTAGTAGAGCAGATCGTTCATGAATAAACAAGAAATATACATGAGGTACAAACCAATCATGACAAGATGCTATTTGGAAATATTAGCCAATTCCTTTTTTTAGATTTATTCCCTAAAACT
Source organism: Homo sapiens (assembly GCF_000001405.40). Classification (NCBI taxonomy): domain Eukaryota; kingdom Metazoa; phylum Chordata; class Mammalia; order Primates; family Hominidae; genus Homo; species Homo sapiens. The sequence goes on along the minus strand of NC_000010.11, from coordinate 83,687,564 downwards.
CCCATCTCCAACTTCCCTTCTAATATTTTAATATCTTAAGTTATCTTGAGGCCTGTCCATTGTTTCCACTACCTCAGAGATGGGCTGTTGCAGTGGACACAGGAGACAACTGAGTCTATTTTTTATTTGATAATTTTTTGATAATTAAATGTCTAGTTCCTTAGGAGAAAGGAAGGTATTTATGACTTAGTCAAAAGATTTAGGTGGATATATTGAGAATAAAACTTCCCTCAGTGTATAACAGGTTACTCCAAGTGGAATCAAAGAAGAAATGATTATACGATAGGTATCCGTAAATCCCAACCACAAACGATCCCAATCTTCCATTCACAACCAATCAGGCCAGAAAGGAAACAAAATCCCCAGAAAAGCTGGTGAGGTATAGAGCAAGGGACAAAGTTAAACAAGTGTGAGAAGTAAACAGTCCTCCTAAGAGATAATGTCTGTACTACTGTGTCTAAGCATTTAGGACCTTAGAAAACCTCCATATGTTCTTTATTGCCAAGAGGTAGTTTTAGAATGTTTATATGCTCAGTAGAGTTAAAACTACTAGAGAATGCTACTGAACTAAAGGAAGCTTGATATCAAAACGGGAGCAAACTTTTTCTGGATCTGCTTGGCTTTTCAATGAAAGACATCATAAGAAATGTCATGGTGCACATTATGGGATAAATGGCTTCACTATTATCCCCCAACCTAGGGCACAATAACACTACTCGAGGGAATGTAGGTAAAAACCTCAAAGATTTTTATTAACCCAGCCGGTATCTGTATATATGCACCTACCCACCCACCCCCCCCCCCCACACACACATACACACATACACATATATCATATATACACACACACAATGTAGAGAGAAAAACTTTTTAGAAAATGGTTTACTATATAAAAATTGTTCATAATCCTGGTATGCAAAAATAATTTTCTAGTTAACTATGAATATAAACTACACACATATATAGGCATATAAATAAGTAAATGTGTATACATTTATGTGGACATATATATACACACACTCACATAGGTGTATACTATTTTCCCAAAGGTTATTCTGCCTACTGTGTGGAGCTTCTGTCAACAAAATTGTTGACAGAATTTTAAATTTAAATTTTAAATTTTAAATTTAGATAATTTTAAACTGTATACATTTTATTAGGATAAAAAGCTGCTTTAAACACAAAATCAAATAATTTAGTGGTTCTCCATAGTTTGTATGTGTTTGTTCACATTTATCATTCTTTAAATAAGAGAAAGAATTGCCCCTCCAGAAAAAGGGGCCAGTGACTGTCAAAAGAACCACCACCCTCTCAAGGATAAAGTGGAGGCTCTCTCTAATTTAAGGTTACAGACATTCCATCTCAGGGCAGAGTCCAGAGTCATTTCTGTTGTTGGGTGTCCAAAAGGCACTTAATAACCCATTCTCTGTTACAGGTTCTACAGATATTTTTCATAAGATGCCATCATGATTTTGAGTGGCTGAGCAAATGCCAAGTGAACCAGAGATGGGCTGCCACCTTCTTTCCAGCTCTTCCAAACTGCAGATTAGTGAGCAAAATGAATGTGGCAGTTACTTTAAGCCATTAAGTTTGGGAGTGGTTTGTTACTCTCTACTAGATAACCAAAACACTCTCCTATTTTGATTATTTTAACTTACACTCTGACTCCCTGTCCTCATCTGTTAACAAGGTGAGCATGTCAGAGTTAGAATAATTTGTAGATTTCATTTTGTCTGTATTTAGCTCATATATAAAGTTGGATGTGGCTGCTTAAATGAGTCGGACAGGTCTGGCCAAGAGCTAGACGTGAACAGTGAGACAGTAGTGTTATTATGTTTGTGCTGACCTCAAGGCATGGCCCAATTCTGAGGTATGGAGCGTTGTTCAGCATAATTTCCCAACAGTGACCTACATTTGTGCTCCTTCAGCTGTTTAAAAAACTGCCAGACTCTGAAATAAACAATGTTGTTAACGGGGATTGCAGCCATTTGGACTCTTCAATGACACTGAAGTTGTGGCTTGAAGAGCAATATGCATTCCTTTCTGATGGTTTATTTGCTTAAAATCTTAATTGTATTTCTTCGTGGTGGACAGCAAATGGTGTATATGACCTGTTGAGTAATATTAACCTTGCATTTCATGGCATCACAATAAAATACTCCCCTGAACACTAGGGGCAAATGAAAGACAGACCTAATACTTACCAGCCACCACATATGAATCATGAGTAGAAGCAACACATATGAATATAAGGGAAATTTTCTACAGAATTAAATTGTAGGAAAAGAGTTAATCTTCCTTTGGCAATTTAATACTGCCTAAAGTGTATGATCCCATAACAATCCTATATATTTTGGAGGCAATGACTGGAAGTGTCATTCAACAAACTGATGTCTTAAGCAATAAATAACTCTAAAAATATATTAAAAAGATAAAGAGAGAATAGAAGAAAGTTAATGATGCTTGTAATTTGATGGTCAGGCACATATAATGTTTGTTTCTAACTTTTCATTGAAAGCTTTTCCCCTAGATAGGAATTTGACTTTATTGGAAAATGATGTGCAGTGAGAAGTATGAACCAATGTCAACAAGCATGACCTGTATGGCACCCAAATATCATCAAGAGTGAGGGTAGGAAATGAAATACAAAGGAGGGAGAGAAAGCACAGAAAGATAGAGAAGGAAATAAAAAAGGAAGGTAAGAGAAACAAAGAGAGGAACTGCTAATCTTGTCATTTCAGGAGGTGCAGTATGGTAGAATAAAAAAATCTTGTAAGTTTTTTTCAGAGTCATGAGTTTGAATCTGATCTCCACCATTTACCAGCTCAGTAACCTTGGGAAAGTTACTTTAACTCCATGATCCTAATCTCTGCAGCTGCTCAATAGAGTTAATGATGTCTAGCACTGTTGGAGATAAGCACACAGAAGAGTGTTTGACCCCAGATGTGGGCTGAATGAATGTTTACTCCTTTTTTTTTGTTTTCCAATGTTTGTTTTCTCTAAACTTCAGACAGTGGAGAGGAAACACAAACTAGCCAAGATGCCTCTTATTTTCAGCAGAGATTCCTAAGGGAAAACATTGCCTGGGTGTCTCTAGTAGCACAGAACTCCCCTTATGGAGAGCCTTCCTTCTTGGAAGACTCTGAGGAAGCCTCTGGAAGTGAAGGTGAATCGTCCTTTCCTCTGAAAGTTGAGGTAGACTGTTGGGGCAGCCTGCTCAGCCCAATACTTAACTCATAAGTTTAAGTTAGCTGGGTTTCTCAAATGACTCAGAGATTTGTCTAATTTCTATCTTAAACTGGACCATGTCAATGCAGTTTAAGAGTATAGGTGAAGCTTCTCTGCTCCCATGTGTTACACAGAGATCCTAATGCTCACATCTAATACTGAAATACAATTCACTAGGAACTAATATTTTTAATCAGCTAACTCCTGGAAATGGTTGTCTTTGGTTGCAGCCTGTAGAGAGCAAGGTGATTGCTGCCAGGCTTCCCTGGTAAAGATTTGGTCCTATCTTTAGGGGTAGAGGGTTTATATCATCTTGAAACCTAGAAGAACTACAGGTCTTTAACTCTTGTGGAGAGTTCAATTCCATCATCATCTCTTCACTTGGCCTGGGGTCAGAGAGACTTCCCACACTCTTTATGACTCTGGGGTTCTAATCTGGAGTCCCCCAGTCAGATGCAGCATTTCTTATCCCACATTCTCCACTCTTTCTTGGGTCATTCTGTCCCCAGCCAGGCTGTGAGTTTTTCAAAGGCCAAGTCCCTGATTTGTTCTATTTGCTCCCTTTCATATACAGTGGGTGTTTGTAAGCTTATTAAATAATTAAACCCCACAGGGAAATGATATCAGAGTGTCATTTTGTTGAGTAAATGCTGATTTTCCTGAACTTCTCACAGAGCTATTGCCTGTGGATAATGGATTTGTCAAAAAAACAAGAGTAGCCTGTACCCAAACCAGAGAAGTGAATTGTTCTCCTTTTTGAAATGGAAAAGGACAAGGACAAGGAAATTCATTCTGTTGAGCATCTACTCTGTGCCAGATAAATTACTAGGAACTTTAAATATGCATTTTCCCTGAATTTTTTAATAGTAATAGGGTTATGTGGTTGGAAATAGGGATTAGACTGAAAATAGAGACAAAAATACTAGAAAAAATGAATTTGTGCTTGAGACTCCAGAACATAATTATTGCCTTTTTGGATGAGCATGATATTACAGACAGCATATTATGTAGGGCGGTCCTGATACGCACAGACATCCCTTCACAAGCATGACTTCTACCCTTGCGAGGAGAGAGCCATGGCCGCCTCTTATAAAGTTAAATAATTGCATGAGGTTGCTGAAAGTATCAGGATTCATACCCTGATTATTCATGGTCTAAAGGACATTTTTTTTTCTATCATAGCTTTGCCTCCTAATTTCATAATGGAAAAGTAGAGCATTAGATTGGAAAAGGATAACATGTACATTTTCTCAGTTATGTGAATAGTAACCAAATCTTCTAAGAAGTGAGAGAAAGACAGGAATTCATTTTCTGGGAGCTGAGGAGTACAGTACTATGCATTAGATATGAAATGCCATAGGCAACATCAGTTCTTTCCTTTCCTCTGCTTCCCTAGATACATATTTTTCAAAGACTAGCAATTCTGAAAATAGGTTACAGTGATGAATACTGTACTGACTTAAAAAAATTCTTAGACACATTACTGGCCAGTTAGAACTGGTAGCTTTTAATGCTGCGTATACTTTCACATAGGTGCAATGTTTTGTGCTGAATGTAACATGTCTATGTCACTATAAGGCAACTAAGCAGAAAGAATGAGGGCTGGCTTTGCAATTATATAGTATCAGGCACTATATCAGTATATAGTGACTCAGATACTTACTGACTCTGTGACCTTAGGCAAAGTACTTATCTCTGTAAAATGAGGAAATGTCAGCTATTCCGTAGAATAGCTAGGAAGATAAAATGATATAGCATATGTTAAATGACAAGTCCAGAGCTTGGAGAGGTAATTCTGCATAATTTTTGCCTTTCATGTTGAGGATTTTGACTGGACTGATAAGTACATTCTGTTCAAACTGTGGACTGATGTGATCTCAGGTTAGAATGGCAATGGCAATGGCCATGATAACAAGTGCGAGGTAATATCTCAATGTAGTTTTGAATTGCATTTCCCCAAAGATGCGGAGAAAAGGAACCCTTATATGTTGTAGGTGGGAATGTAAATTGGTATGGCCATTATGGAAAATGGTACGGACGTTCCTCAAAAAATTAAAAATAGAATTATCATATGATCCAGTCATCCCCCTTCTAGGCATATATCCAAGGGAAATGAAAACAGTATCTTGAGGAGACATCTGCACTCCTAAGTTCATTGCAGCATTAGTTACAACAGCTAAGATTTGAAAATAACCTAAGTGTCCATTGACAGGTAAATGGATAAATAAACGGTGTGTATAGGCCGGACGGTGGCTCACGCCTGTAATCCCAGCAATTTGGGAGGCCGGGGTGGGTGGATCACGAGGTCAGGAGATCAAGACCATCCTGGCTAACATGGTGAAACCCCGTCTCTACTAAAAATACAAAAAAAAAAAAAATTAGCCGTGCATGGTGGTGGGCGCCTGTAGTCCCAGCTACTTGGGACGCTGAGACAGGAGAATGGCGTGAACCTGGAATGGGAGGTGGAGCTTGCAGTGAGCCCAGACCGGGCCACTGCACTCCAGCCTGGGAGACAGAGGGAAACTCCGTCTAAAAAAAAAAAAAAAAAAAAACCAAAAGCTTTGGTGTGTATATTCACAATAGAATACTACTCAATCTTCGAAAAGAAGGAAGTCCTACCATTTGTGACAACACAGATGAACCCAGAAGACGTTAAGTGAAATAAGTTAGACACAGAAAGACAAATACTGCATGATATCACTTACATGGGGAATGTAAAAAAGCTGAACTCATAGGAACAGTAAACCAGTGGTTATCAGGGGTCGAGGAGTGATGTTGGTCAAAGAGTACAAACTTTCAGTTCTAAGATAAATAAATTCTGGAGACTTAATGTATAGCATGGTGACTATAGTTAATAATAATGTTTTGTATACTTGAAATTTACTAAGAGAGTAGCTCTTGAGTATTCTCATCACACATGCAAAAATTGGTAACTATGTGAGGTGATAGATATGTTAATTAGCTCAATTGTGGAAATCATTTCACAGTGTGTATATATATATATATCAAAACATCGCATTGTACACCTCAAATATGCACACTTTTTATTTGTCAATTATACCTTAGTAAAGCTAAAAAAAAAGAAAAAATGCCAAAGATATCTGGACAGAAAGGGAGGGATCGATACCTCATGATGGTGTGGGAGAAAAGCAATGTTTCTGGATGTTGCTGCCTTCTATAAACTGAATCAATTCAATAAGCAAGTTTAGTTAAAGGAAAAAGGGCGTTTACCTTTTTTTTCCTGAGGGTAAAATCAGGGAGAATCTGTTTTAAAGGAAGGAAGAAAAGGATATCTGGTTGGAAATAGAAAAGAGATTGAGAAAAGAGACAAAAATACAGGGAAATGTGAATTTGTGTTTGAGTCTCTGGAGTGAGGCACTTGCTCATTTGCAGGGGGCCTGGTGTTGCAGGGAGGATGTTGTCTGCATCTGACATGCCCAGACCTCACATCGCAGGTGTGACTCCAACCCTTGCCCACTGCATATACAAAATTTCATACCCAAGCACCTTCACAAGGCTCACCCTTCCTTCTCTGCAGTTTTGAAGACATTTGCATGAAAGCACAGACTCTGCCTCCTGCAGCTTTCTCACCACCCGAAGTCACAGTATAGTGGTAGCCATAGCAACACTTTCGGTATTGCTAACCTGGGGTTACAAACTCTGAGGTAGGAAACAGGATACAGACACATATTGAATAAAAAAAAAAACTATGGAAAAAATGACTTCAAAAGTAACGTTTCCTCAACGCCAGACCCCACTAGATTGTAAATCAGCAGCAAGGGAGAAGAGACGCGGGAACAGTGCTTATCAAGTATCTCCTGTGCTTCAGCACCAGGGGCTTGCCTAGATTTTTAATAATGAGTAGTAGTTCTGAAAATAATCCAGTGAAGAAGGTATGCTTACCAAACCTCATCACTTATGCACAAATAAAGGTAACAAGTTGTCAGGTGACTTGCTCAGGTGTACAAGTCTGGGCAGTGGTGAAGTAGGAATTTGTACCAGCTCTGACAGATTGTCTGCACCGTAAAAGTTTGGTCTCCAGACTGTGAACACTTTTCTGATGGCATTTTGTTTCGTTAACTGCTATTCCTCTATTCTGCAGTGTAGTCCTCCCTCACTGAGCCTTTTGTCTGTGCCTGCCTGCTTCCTTCTCAAGAACCTCGTCTGGAAAACTCACCTCATGGCCATTTTGCTTCAATGCCATGGAGGAAATCAAAGGCCCTTACTTTGTCCTGCAATGACTATCTAAAGCGTCTTCATCCAACAAGCACATTAAAAAAATTTCAACTCATCCCTTATATATGCAGAAAAAACATGGGGGTTGAGATGTTAAGCCAGAAGTTAAAAGTTAAGAGATCAGATTTAAAATTATTGAATTTTGGCTTAAACTTAGGAAGAGTTGAATGCATTACAGAGAAGTGAGAAAGATCAAAGGACACAAAAACATGGGGATACGTAGTGACCCTCATCTCCTCTTCCTGTTTCTCATCAAAATAGTGAATTTCTGTACTTGGAGACCTCTCAAATGAAATTCTGTTCAAGGTGGGACTTTAATCTTCTCTTTTTGTTGTTCTATATTTCTTTAAGTGTTTATGATCGTGATACACTATCTTTATAATTGTAGAAAAAAGTTATATTTAAAAAGAACAAAATGTTAAATTTCTAATAAAATTGGGCACACACACACACACACACACGTAAATGCTTAGCAAACCAGCCCCATGATTGGTTTCAGTTTAAATAAGCAGCAGAGAGGGCTTTACTGGCATTTTTAATTAGTTATCCCTGAGATCCTTATCAACATTGGACAGGTCGACATGATTTCAATGTGATTTATTTTCAAGACATGTAGCGAGGAAGGCTAACTCTGGAACTTGGCACATTCAAGATTTTCTTCACCCATGGGACCCTCTGTGGGGCAGCTGAGATTTCTCCATTCATCACTTCATAACACCTGTTCCTATGCAGAACAAAGCTTGGGACTGATGGTACTTCCTGCTTCTAGGGCCCTTGGCAGCTCCAATCAGAACATCATCTGCAATATGCAGGTGACAATATGGAGTTCTAGCAGAGGAATTAAAAAACGCATTCAGTATACACTGCTTCCGTTTACCATGTCTGTGCTTCTCCGTGCTCTAAAGTCAAATTGCCAAAATACTAGGCCCTGTTTTCCCTATCCTTATGAAACAAGGGACTGTGGCACTGATGATACTTTTCTATGCCTGTTTAAGGAAGGTGACTGAACAACTAATATGGAAAGCAGGATATCTTTCATAAGAAGCAATAAGGAAATACACTCAGTTATTTTCAGTTCTGTTTGATGTCAGCTATTGCTTCTAACTTTGAAACTCTAGCTTCTCAATGTTTCAGCTTTTTCCCTTCCATTCTCTGTCCATGTCATTTTTATCCTTCCTCGTTATCTTGATAATGAGTTTATGTAAAAATTAAAGTCATAAACAAGAATTTAAAGAAAAAATATCTAAACCCATTGCACATTTGTCTTCATTGGCTCTGTGGGCCCCTCCAGAGTTTTCTCAGGTGTCTGGGGACTTAATTCTTCCTCAGATTTGCAGAGCCCCACAGTGTTTGCAAATAACATTGGCCCAGTGGAACTGCAGCCTGGAGACTATAATGCTTTGCCTAACTTCCTTAGTCAGCACCTGCTCTGTGTCCATCCACACTGGATATGATGATGCGTTCCATTTTACCTAAAGTAAACATGGTTTAGTGAATTTCTCTCTATTTTAGAGTCTGTGGAATCAAAGAATACTAAGGAAGTGTCTGGAGAAAACTATTCCAAGGTGAGAGACCCACAGCTGGAGTCCAGTTCCAGTGGTAAGACAAGAACATGAGAGGAAGACGGAGTACAGGTTGGAAATCAGGGGAAAACCCAGATGCTGCTTGGGCCTGTTTCCCACAGTGGGGGCTTTGGGGACAACACACACAGAACAATTGATGTGTACAGTAACAGCAATTTCCACAAACATTCTGCAATCCCTTTGTTCCCCAGGCAGAAGAACATAGGAATAGTCAGACATGCTGTCTCCCTCGAGGAGCTTATGCTGTTATCAGTTTATGGCATCTCAGCTTCTAATTCACTCTTTTAGCTTGTTCTATGAAAGTGGATCTGGGGCCTTTAAATATTTTTTCTCTACTAGCAAACACAATGCTAAATTTTGATAGTAGCGAGTGCTTGAGAGAAATTTCAGAAGAAAGGAAAGAGTTTTGCTTCCTGCTTCCAGTGTGCTCCTTGTGCAGACTCCTGCTGAATTATGTGGTTTCTCTAGGTCGAGCTCCTGTCACACACAGGACTTCCCCAGCAGGGCCTGCACTTTCTCTGGTGTCCAGGTTCTGCAGTGCACAGCAGCCAGCAACTCCTGGTGGCCAGCAGCTGCCTCCAACGACCTCCTCAAGCGGTTTTGTAGCAGAGTGCTTCTGATGAGACATTTCTCTGTGAACAGCTTTCTAGCAATTTCTGTAATTCCAGCAAGTCCTTTGGGTGTGTCAACAAAGAGAACTTGCTGTCCTTCAGTGAACTATGGCCATGCATCCCCAGCAAAAGAAGCAATAAGGTACTCTAATTCTTTGCCATCTCTGCTTTTAAGATAAAAACCAGGCACTTGAGTTGTTTCATTTAAAAAAAAATGAAAATTTTTTTTTAAAAAAATCAAAATTTAAATGAAGGAAAATATATTAAAAATTAATGTCATTTTTCCATCTTGGAATCAAGACATGGCACTTCCTTCTTGGGGAAAAAATAGATGTGTGGAAGAGAACAGAATTGTAGAACATCTGAGCTAAAAGGAAGCTTTGAGATCATTTATTCCAGTGACTTTATTTTGTAATAAGAAACTGGAATGAAGTGGCTTATACAAGGGCACACCGTGGAGAAGGTCAAGTCCTCCAGACTCATCACAGTGCTCTTTGGGTGGTTATATAAAACTCCTAGGTGTTTCTAATATGCACCCGGGATTAGAAACCATAGGCCTAGGTGGAAAAATGAAACCACATATACAAGTGCACAGAAGAGGGAATGTTCACAGGATTCCATGTATCTCATTAAGTCTAGTGTCCAATTTCTTTGGGTTTTAAAAAAAAATCCACCTTTCTTGGGCTTCACAGACCAGGAGATACTCACATGGAATGAGGCTGTAGTCATGGTAATAAACAGTATTGTTTGGTAACTACCCTTTTAGCAAAATCACTGAAACTCTGGCCCCCAGATTCCTCCTCCTGTTTGTGAGCTCCTAAGGTGACCCTTTGGCTCCTGAGCAACCATGACACCCTTGGCTACACCAAAGCTCATTGTAAGGCCCATGATCATTCTTTCTTGGCCTTACCTGTGGCTTCTGTATGGCTTCCTGGTTCAGCACATGGTTATTTTTCCAGCAAGTCTTGATTCTACTTCAGTAGTCTCTATGCTGAATTTTTTAGTAAAATTTAAAATGTACATTTGGATTAACATATGGTGGCCAGTATTTTACCAGGCCAAGATGAGATCTTGAGAAAGAAACACTATTTAATATTATCTTTTCACAAAAGAAAGAATATTCAAACTCCAGAATATAGAAAGGAGGAGATATTTACATGAAGAACATATTTTTAAATTTAATAAATTTTTTTATATAAAATTAACTACAGAATTTTTTTTCTCATTTCTAGGAAAATCATTACAGATGGACTCCATGAACCAGTGTTTAGAAAGCGCTGCTATATGTTTTTAGGAATACATAGGGAATTTGGTAGGAAGATTACGTAAGTACACCTGCGCCATAGTACTTTATCATCCACACCCTTCTGATCCTCAGCCAGGTCGGGTGAGGGTCTCCCAAAAGCAAGAGAATTCCATACACTCCTGTCAATGTTAAGGATAATAAGGATTTCTCAGTTTACTAGGACATGTTTTAGTTTCATTCTTTGGTTGTGAGAAAGAAGTCATCTGCATTTTTTTCCCAAAAGAGGATGTTGATTTTAAGGAAACATGTGGGCTAAAACTAAAATTGATCTAGGAATCAGAAACTCTGTTTATTTCTTGGGCCCTTACTCATGATCTTTGTACTAAAAAAAGTAAACAAAAAAAATTTTAGCATGAAAATAAAAATAAAATATGTTTACCTGAAATGTTTGCTATAGAAGGGGTCCATCCATCAGATGAACTGGGCTTTCAGAATAAAAAGTACACTGTTATTCCAATGAAAAAGAAAGTTATAAATGGCCTAATCATTGGTAGAAAAATAGAAGTTGTGACTTATAATTATAATTATTATATCTATAAGGATTGTTATGTATTATATTTCTGATTAGGGAATCAGAAATATATAGGAAAGGGGCTCAAGACACTATTTATTTGGGGGGATAGTATTAGATAGCGTGTTCTTGTATTTTGAGGTTTATTCCTGAATTCAAAGTATATTTTTTACGATTACACTAAATAATAAACATATTCATATGGAAGAGGGCAAGGTGTCAGTCTTGTATTTTCATATGTTTGTTGATCTCCCTACATGTGAACTAATTCTTTCAAAATTTTTTACTTCAAATTTCTGGAAGAAAACTGTGATTAACCATACTTACTTCTTCATGTCAAGTCAAAAATCACCATCCAGGCTTTATTTTACTACTTTTACATGAAGTGCTCATCTTTGGTTCAAATAGCTATAAAAAGTGAAGGACATGGGTTACATAGTAAAAGAAAGGCCATCTACGGGCTGAAGGACTGGTAGATTCCTTAGAAGCGGGTGTGATGAGGAAAGTAGCTTAAATACTATAGTCCAGTACAATGGTCTTAGCCTTTGTTTTCAGCCATTGGCCTAAACTCATTCAGTCGTTAAGTATTCATGAAATCCATTATACCCTTAAGCAAATAAAAAATCTGTTAACCTACACTTCAGTCTGCCTCAGGCATATTCGGAGTCTCATGGGGGTATCTGTGAAGAAGACGAGCACAAGAAAGCCTAAGTTCAGTACACACAGTAGGACTGAATCAGGTATGCTTGACAGATTACGTCAGAAAGACTTTTAACTAATCAATTTCCTTAAAGCAATTTTGATTAACCTAGGCTAATCAAGGTAGTGAATGGTAAATGAAGACATAAATAACCTCAGTAAATGAGATTTTCAAAGAATATGTAAATTGAGAAGGATGTGCTAATGATGTGATGTCGTTCATTCATGTGTCAGTAGTTGTTGAAAATATACTTTTATGCTTTTTAAAATTAGGATAGTAATTATTTTATGAGGCATCACAATAAAATCTCTCCCTTGTAAGTGTTGAAACTAGTTGCCATAATGTCCCACCAGTGAAATTGTGTGAGCTCCTCTTTTAAAATTTTAGAAGTTTGAAGAAGCGAATACTAAAGATTTTTATGAGTTTATGTAGGTATTGAAGAAAAAACAGTGCTGTCATGCTACCAATAATATGAAGGTCATGGCCCACAAGTGTTAACTATATTGAAAGAAAATGGGCTGGGCGTGGTAGCTCAAGCCTGTAATCCCAACACTTTAGGAGGCTGAGGTGGATGGATTGCTTGAACCCAGAAGTTTGAGATCAGCCTGGGCAACAAGGCATACTCCTGGCTCTACAAAAAATACAAAAATTAGCTGGGCCTGGTGGCATGCGACTGTAGTCCCAGCTTCTTGGGAGGCTGAGGTGGAAAGATTGCTTGAACCAGAAAGGTTGAGGCTGCAGTGAGCCATGATTACGCCACTGCACTCCAGCCTGGGTGACAGAGCCAGACTGTCTCAAAAAAAAAAAAAAAAAAAAAAAAAAAAAAAACAGAAAGAAACAAGAAAAGATAAAGTGTTATGGTCATAAGTAAAGAAATATTTGAGACTGACAGCAAAGAAAGCTTTAACATGTTTCTGGATAGCTGTGTAAACTTAGCCAAGACACTTATCCTTAGTTTCCATTTTACAAGCACTGGAAACAGAAAAAACAAACCAACAAAGCTTTTTCAGATTGAACGCATTGTATAAAGAATATTCTTACACATTCTTAAAGGGGAGAAAATGAGCAAAGTACATAAATAGACAGAGAATGGGAAAATTATTAAATTATGAATTGAATTGGATAATAAAGAAATGAAAGAGGAACAAAAACAAAAGGAAAGAAGAGAAAAATAGAGAACTGGTACTTTATATGTATTTGACTTTTACCTGACACAAAAGAGTGGGGAAACTCAAGTCCAGGCATCATGGGGCAGATCCAGGCTTCTGTACTTGTCAGCTTTGTGACCACAACCAAGTTCCACTGGTGCCCCTGAGACGTCAGTCATCTCATTTATAAAAATAGTAGATGAGATGATTTGCAGGGTACCTTCCTGATTTATAACTTGGCTTTATATAATTGTAAAAGGAAAGGATTTCATTTTGCTTGTCTTAAACCACCAGATACCAACTGTGCCTCTGCTGTACCGAGAGACAAATAAACCCAAAATGCTTTCATGACACAAATATGCATATGCTCATGGATTGCCTTCAATATCTCGTGCAAGCTCATTCATTAATAAAATATCAAAAATCCTGTAATTACCCAGAATTTGCTTAACTGAAAATTACATTTGCCGTGAAGGTACTGCCTGGACCTAGACATCAGGTGGACTCTGTAGGCAGCCCCTAAGTTCATCCTGACCAAAGCTAGACCATTGCCCCAGCTGCTCATGGCTGAAGTGTTAAAGCAAGTTCAGTGGAGTCACATGGCTGTGCCTCCTAGAGCTTTGGGGACTTTTGTGCCATATGGAAGGTCCTCCCTGTTGCTCCTAGTGCCTGGGGCAGGCGAGCAGACTATGCATCAGCAGCAGCGCTGAGACAGCAATTTGGCACTCATAGACAGATCTGGCTCAGCCTCCGGCAAACAACATCTGTCCTGCTGTTCAGTTTTATGGGGGTTACCACCTTCATGTTTGAATATCTAACATGCTCCTTATATAGCACATGGCAGAATGGAATGGGAGCTCATTTAGGCAAAATGACTGGGTTCAAACCTTAGTCATCACTCATGAGCTAGGGTACTATGAACTAATCTCTAGATATCTCCAAACTCTTTTCTTCATCTATCAAGTGGGAGTAACAATTTTAATTGCTTGATTTGCCTTTCAGAATTCTTATGGTCACAAAAGCCTCTTCTGAGGGTAAGAAATCAGCAAAAACTCCAAATCAGCAAAGGAAACAGACTTAAAATACATGCTCATTTCCAAAAGGTTTGTACAGAATCGACAATCCAGCCATGGCTGACTCTGTGAACACTAACGTTAACATTTATGCATTATGTTCCTTTTCTCTCTATACTTCCAGTTTTTCATTCCAGTGCTTCTTTTAGTGTCTTCAAATCCACATTTACTCTTTTGTAATTTCTATTGCCTTAAGGCCTGTGTCAGGTATGGCTGAATGTTAACTGTGCAGAAGGTGTCTGTGACCTACCCAACACCATCATTATAATATAATAATAGCTGACCTCGACCAGGTCTACTCTCTGTCTGCCATTGTGGCAAATGTTCATGTGGATGGTTCCTTATTTAATTTTATTGTCATTCCCAGGAGCAGTGTTTTATTAATCAAATTTATCCATTTATAGGTGAGGAAACTTGCCTACAATCACAAGTGCCTGACAATTTCCTCAGACCTTTATCTATTTCTCCATTCCTGTTCACTATTATTCTTTATCTCCATGGTTCCCAGACTCCTGACTGTATTCCAGCTCTATTACTTTTTCTTCTTTTCTTTGGGTTGGTTAATATCCACAGTCTTATTTGGTTTCTTGCCTTTTCTTTCAGGTCTGACTCCATTCTTCTTTTTGCCAATTTTTAGATCCCATATAATCTTGGATAGAAAAATGATCTATACTGCATCAGAATCATGGAACCTATTGGCAAAGGGCATTCTGTCCCTTCAATTGTAGCTTCAACCTCATTGTCTAATAAATAATAACTACCACTTTTTGAGGGATCAATGTATATCAGGCAATTTTCTGAGAGGACTTAAGGCTGCACCATTTCATTCAGACATTATAATAGCGATTCAACATTGCTAGCTCCATTAGCAAGGTACTATTATTTTACTGAAGCCCCTTAACTCCAGTACATCCAGTATACGACAGAGCCAGAACCTTAATCAAAGTCCATTTGTTGACACCAGATTCTAACTATAACCTTTACAATATGTTAACTTTAACTGTGCTTATTCCGATTGCTTATTTTATACCATCCCATGGTTCCTTGATTTTATTCTAGATCCCATCTAGAATTGAAGCCAGGCAAAAAGTTGCTCCTATTTGTTGAAGTTATAGTTTGTTCATTTAATACCTTCATACTAATCCTTCCACTTATGCATATTAAAACCCTAAAAAGTGCAGCTCCAAAAAGTGCCTAGTAACAAGAACAACTATTTTCTAATATTCTGCAATATGAATGATGTCCCCTTGAGTTGTGCAGCAACTCGAAGGGGCAGAGCTGAGAGCATAAGCAGTGTGTCTGAAGTGACACATCATAATACAGTGCCATCTTAGTGTACTAGGAATAGGGGAAAACTACAAAAAAAGCTTTTATTAGGAAAATTCTCAAGGTTAGGCAGCTGCCTTTCTTCATAGAGTGAAGGAACCATCTGCTACTGCTCATGCCACTGTGTTGCCTGATGAATTCTTATTGCCCACTGGTTGAGACCCCTGGTGTTTCTGTCGTGATAGAACAAGTAAACATGATATATAATTTATAAAGTCTTTTAATTTGGGATAAATCCAATGGATATTTTGTATTACAATGTTGCCAAAGCCAAATTTTAACTTTTTGAACTTTTGACCTCTGAATGTTGAAGATTTGATAAAAATTTTACAACCACCTATTAGAAAAGATGAACAAACCCCAGACGTAGGGAATATGAACTAACCTATACCCAGAAACATAATAATTAAAGTGCTTAAAACCAGTGATAAAGATAAAATCTTAAGATAAGATAGAAAAAAAAGACATTTGTACACAGAGGAACAGATATAAGGATTACTGCAGATTTCTTGTCAGAAAAAAAGTGCAAGCAAGAAGACTGGGTAACGTTATTTTTAAATTATCTTTATTATCCTTTTTAGCATCATGTTTTAAAAACATCACTTTTTAAACATCGTCTTTCAAAACATCCTTAAAAAAATGAACATAGAATTCTATATCCAGTGAAGATGCCTTATTTTTTTTATTCTTTGAGACAGAGTCTTTCTCTGTCGCCCAGGCTGGAGTGCAGTGGCATCATCTCAGCTCACTGCAAGCTCCGCCTCTCGGGTTCACGCCATTCTCCTGCCTCAGCCTCCCGAGTAGCTGGGACTACAGGCGACTGCCACCACACCCGGCTAATTTTTTGTATTTTTACTAGAGATGGGGTTTCACCATGTTAGCCAGGAAGGTCTCGATCTCCTGACCTTGTGATCTGCCTGCCTCAGCCTCCCAAAGTCCTGGGATTACAGGGAAGATGACTTTTAAAAACAAAGATGATTATTACACACCTATTAGAATGACTGAAATCCAAAATACTGACAATGTCAATTTTGGGTCACAATGTGGAGCAATGGATGAGACCTTCATTCATTGCTGGTGCAAATGCAAATAGAGTTTGCCAGTCTTTTACAAAGCTAAACATAGTCTTGCAATATGATCCAATATCTAGGTATTTACCCAACTGATTTGAACACTTAAGTTTACCAAAAAATCTTCATGGAGATGTTGAACTTTCATAGCTCTAAAAACTGGAAACAACCAAGACTGGAAACAACCAAGATGTCCTTCATTAGGTGAATGGATAAATAGTTTCACATGCCTACAATATAATATGATTCAGGGATAAATAGAAATAAGTTTTCTAGCCACACAGAGACATAGATGAATCTTAAATGCACATTGCTGGCTGGGCATGGTGGCTTCTGCCTGTAATCTCAGCGTTTTGGGAGTCTGAGGCAGGAGAATCTCTTAATGCCACGAGTTTGAGACCAGCATGGACAACAGTGAGACCATGTTCCTCTAAAAACAGTTAAAAGAAAAAGCATATTCCTAAGTGAAATAAGCCAGTATGAAAAGGCTACATACTATATGATTGAATTTGTATGACATTCTGGAAGAAGCGTAATTATAGAGATGGCAAATAGCCAGGGGTATGAGGGAAGAGTTGAACAGGTAGGACACAGGATTTTAGGAAAGTAAAACTATTGTGTATAATACTGTAATGGTATATACATGATGATACACACTTTGTCAAAACCCATAGATCTTTACAACAAAAAATTTAATGTACATCATTAAAATGTTAATGTGAAAAAATTGATATTTCCCAATCAAATTTTATTTTTTATTTTTGATGGAATTAGCAACAAAGAAATGTGTGTCCCTGCAAAAAACATGATCTCATTCCTTTTTATGGCAGCATAGTATTCCATGGTGTATATGTATGACATTTTCTTTATCCAGTCTATGACTCATGGGCATTTAGATTGATTCCATGTCTTTGCTATTGTGAATAGTGCTTCAGTGAATACACATATGCATGTATCTTTATAATAAAATGATTTATATTCCTTTCGGTATATACTCAGTAATGGGGTTGCTGGGTCAAGTGGTATTTCTGCCTCTAGGTCTTGAGGAATCACCACACTGTCTTCCACAATGGTTGAATTTATACCTTGAGCAACAGTGCAAAACATTCCTCTTTCTCTGCAACCTTGCCAGCATCTGTTGTCCTCAACAAACTAAAACAGGAACAGAAAACGAAATACTGCATGTTTTCACTTATAAATGGGAGCCGAATGTTGAGAACACATGGACACATGGGTGGAGGGGAACAACACACACTGGGGTGGGAGGAGGGAGAGCATCAGGAAGAATAGCGAATGGATGCTGGGCTTAATGGTGATGGGATGATCTATGCAGCAAACCACCGTGGCACAGATTTACCTATGTAACAAACCTGCACATTCTGCACATGTACCGCTGAACTTAAAATAAAAGTTGGAAAAAAATCCAACAACAACAACAACAAGGAAATGTCTTTCGAGAGCCTATCCTAAGAATATCCCTGACCTAAGAATATCCATTATGTCAAGCACTACATCAGAATTGGATTTGGCATGCAGCGTTTTCTTTTTATGAGCTCATTACAAACTTATCAGTTGACTTTAAGTTTCAACAAATGAAGATGATCCTGGGTGGGTCTGGCCTAATTAAGTGAGTCATTTCTTCTGTATCTACCACAGAACTTAGCAAATTGATAAATTTAAATGGTTTGCAGTATGAATAAAAAATGAATGAGCATAATTCATTATTTATTAAGGATGAATTAGGTGAGTCCTTTAAAAGAAGAAGAAGCCTCAGAAAGAAATTCCCATGCTTGCATGAAGGATGAAGTAATTACCCTGTTGTGAACAGAGGGTAGCACATGGCAAGGGCCTAAGGGCAGCCTGTAGGCCCCAAGAGCAAACCCTGGTGGACAGTTAGCCTGAAAATAATAACAGCAGTCATACAGACATAATTAAGTTCTAGACTATTTAAATAGTCATCTTGCTATGCATATCATAATTAATATATAGTGTTCCTTCTAAGCCGGATCTGGTTCAAAATCTTCTTACTCCCAGAAACTATTATTGATTTTGCCAATTCGAAAAGTATTTTTCCCTCTGAAACCCCAAAGCACTATCTATTCTTTTATTATTTAAAAAAAATAGCTAACAAAAGATAAATGCTTGAGGTGATGGATGCCCCATTAACTTTGATGTGATTATTACACATTGAATGCCTGTATCAAAATATCTCAGATACCCCATAATTATATACACCCACTATGTACCCCCCAAAGTTAAAAATTTTTTAAATTTTAAAAGTTGCTAAGTTACTTTAGGTGAAGTCACTTAAACTTCAGTTCAAATGGCAATTCCTCCATTGTGTGAATTTACTCAATTTACTAGCTTCTTTGAGCCTACTTTACTCAAAGAGTGGAAGGATGTGGAAGGGTGCAGTGAGGTAATATATGAACCATGTGACAGCCATGTTGTCTTAGTCAGCTAGGACCACTATAACAAAATACCATAAAGTGGGTGGCTTATAAAGAACAGAGATTTATTTATCATAGCTCTGGAAGCTGGGAAGATCAAGATCAAGGTGCTGGCAGATGCAGTGTCCAGTGAGGGCCAACTGGTTCATAGATGGTCATCTTCTCGCTATTATCTCAAATGGTGGAAGGGAGGAGGGAGCTCTTTGAGGTCTTTTTTTATAAGGGCACTTATGAAAAAGTGCTCTAATAAATAAATAAAAATCCTATTTATGAGGGCTCCCTCTCATGACAAAATCTCTTATCAAAGGCCTCACTTCCTAATACCATCACATAGAGGGTTAGAATTTCAACATACAAATTTTGGGAGGGGGCACAATCATTCAGTCTATGGCATAGGACTATCAGAGCAAGTGTTCAGTACACATTAGTTGTTATTACCTTTCCAAAGTGGATTTTAAATGCCTGTGGGCCAGCACATTATCTTCTACTTCTGTTTCTACCACAGCGCTTAGCCAATTGAGGAACTTAAATGACTCTCAATATGAATAAAATAATGAATGAACACAAGTGTATTAGTTTCCTTTCTTAGCTGTTAATAATTATCACACAGTAACTTAATACAACACAAGCTTTTTATCTTACAGTTCTGGAAGTCAGAAGTCCAAAATGGATCACACAGGGTTAAAAATCAAGACATTGGCAGGGTTATATTCTTTCTGGAGTCCCTAGGAAAGACTCCATTTTTTCGCCTTTTTAGCTTCTGGAGGCTGTTCATATTCTTGGGCTTATGACCTCTTTCATCTTCAAAGCCACAATGGCCGATTGTGTGTTTTCACATTGTATCACTGACCTTCTGCCTCCCTCTTCCATGTTAAAGGACGTTTGTGATTACATAAGGCCCTCCGGATAATCCAGGATAATATCAAGGGCAACTGTATTCCTGAGCAACTTTAATTCCTTCTGCAACCTTAATTCTCCCTCACCATATAACAACATATTCATAGGTTCTGAAAATTAGGTTGTGGACATCTTTGAGGGTCATTATTCTACCTACCACAATAAGTAATGGGACTGGGGTTTAAAGGCATTGGAGACAGGAAAGTTTAGGAAGGCCACTGCTGCAAGTGGGAATGCCAAAGATTCATTTAGCAATGGTGGGTAGTATAATTATGGAGCTTGCCCAGGGGTCAGAGAGGGTATTGGCCAGAGATGAAGCTGGACCAACAAATCAGAGCTGGAGCATAGGCAGTTGGTAAGGTGGCCATCAATGGTTTTTGTAGAAGGATCAGATCCATGAAATAAATACGTTGTTGGTGTTGTAGAAAAACCATGAGTCATGGACATGTGGGCAGGGAATGTTGAAATATTTTCACACTAAGAAATGATGAGACACAGCCTTCGGATGATGATAGCGAAAAGGGAGACAAGAAAAAGAATTTGAAAGCCTTTTTGTAGATGAATGAGCAGACACTGCTGATCCTCTCTTTATGCTTTTCATATATCTAGCTACCAAGCAACATGACTGAGATTTCCAGGAGAAGTCATTGAAGGCAGGAGCTGAGGGATGAGAAGGCTGGGACACTGAGCAGGCAGTAAGATAGCTAGCTGGTGATTGTAACAATCAGGGCTATTCTCAACTCCCACCACATCACACCTCTCCAAGCTCCACAGACAGTTCCAGAGACAACTGTCTGTTTCCTTGATTAAACCTTTAAAGTAAGGTGCTTGTCTTTTAACATATCAGAATATTGTGCTAAATGTCCATTGCATTCTGCATTCAACTGCTTTATTCCACTGTCAGATAAAAACTAAAATTAATTTTTCAGGGGCAAGAACTTAGAAAGAAGATTTTAGACATAGCCCTAATGGTCACTTTCTTAGTCTGCTCAGGCTGCCATAACAAAATATCACAATAGACATTTATTTCTTAGAATTCTGGAGGGTGAAAGACCAAGGTCAAGGTTCTGGCAGGGTAGATCTGATGCGTCATCTCTTGATTTGTAGGTGACTGCCATCCCACTCTGTGCTCACATGACCTCTTCTCTGTGTGTGCATGGGGGCAGAGAGAGAATCTCTGGTGTCTCTTCTTCTAAGGGCACTAATCACATCATAAGAACCCCCACCCTCATGACCTCATCTAACCTCAACTACCTTCTAAAGACTCCATCTCCAAATACAATCATATCGGGAGTTAAGGCTTCAACATATGAATTTTTGGGGGAACATAAGCATGCAGTTCATAAGTCACATTATTTTCTCATGGATCTCAAAAATTCAGAAAATGTCTCTAATTATTATCCTCACTCCCTTCCCATATATATTCACAATTTATTGTCCTGATAATTCATCATGACCAGCTAGTTGGCAGTGGAGAGTGTGCATAGACAATTTCTTTATTTGCAAGACTCTTTCATAGTGAATCCAAAGCTTTGAATAGGCCTCTCTGCATCCTCAGCTTTCTTTGTGATCAACTGATCCATCAGTTATCCAGCAGAGGCAGAATATTTCTGGTCTTAGTGACCTTGTGAGGCCTTTCATAAAGACATCAACTTTCTTGCAACAAGATGCAACTGAAGTTTAAGTACTGCAAGGCTCTCCTTTGTTGAAATGCCTGCTTGAATTTCTGATATAATGTTAGGAAGATAAACCACTCCGTTTCTCAAAAATTATTATCTCAAAACTTTATGATGTCCTTGGATACAGAATAGAATGTATCCAGAAAGGGGACAGTTTAGCATCTTTCTATGACCATAATAATCATATTTGTTTTTAAAGTTATTTTGTAATTAATTAATTTTTAGAGATAGGGTCTTACTCTGTCACCCAGGCTAGAGTGCAGTGGTGATCATAGTTCACTGCAGCCTCAAACTCCTGGATTCAAGCCACCTTCCTGCCTCAGCCTCCCAAGTAGCTGGGACTATAGGCAGGCACACCATGCCCAACTAATTATTTTTTTAATTTTTTAGAGACAGGGTCTTGCTATGTTGCCCAGGCTGACCTTGAACTCCTTAGTAAAGGAGAAGAATTACTGGGATTACAGGTGTGAGCTGCTGCAACTGGCTCCAATAGCCATATCTCTTAATGGACAACTGTGGCGCTATTAGACAAGATAAAATTATGAGCCAACCATTGCAGCTTTACTCACAGTCAGAGAGGTTGATTTGTGTTCATCTCCTCTCCTGGCACAGTTTGGACATTTTATGGTCTCTAGCCCTTTAATTACTCCTGTTTGATGCATCTATGGTCCACATTGGCATGAACTCAAATGGATTTCTTACCATATATTTTCTTCCAACACCCAGTATTTCTACATCAAATCATCAAATTTGTGATCTTATGTAAATACCATGTGACTTATAGGTAGAATATATCTTTATGTAACCTGCTTGCCAATAATGTTATTAAAACAATCCAGAAACTTCATGTTTGGTTGAAGAAATTGAAGGATAATGGAGGTTATTTACATGTGGTAATGGTCCTAGACAGTGACTGAAACCTAGCAGGTGTGCGGTTCATGCTGGTCTCCTTTTTCTCTGGTATTATCATCTATGTTTTCTTCAGCTAGACCCGCTTGTCAATTACTATATGAAAAATAAAGTTGCACAATCTCTTGATAGAGAATCTATTCCTATTTTTCTGGTGCTTTGATTGATTCATTAGTACAGATTCACTTTTTCATCACTTCTTACCTGACCACTGTGGCCAAATAATACTAAATACATAGTAGTAAACACAAAATGAGCAATTCTCCCAGTTTACAGAACAAAGCCAGCTTCTGCTATAGATATTTTTGTCTGCATTTGTCATATAAGAAATTCACTTAGAGAGGCCAACTAAATTGTCAAGGTCACACAGCTCCTAAGTGTTGAAGCCTCCAGGATTCAGTTTTCAGGTGAAATAGTTACAATTAAAATTTCTCTCCAAAACTTACCATTTTAATAGCCACCCCTTCAAGGTGGCCCAAATGACTCACATGACACCTAGAGAAATCAAAAAGTGCCTCAGTGCTGAGCTGCAAGGAAGAAGGCGGGTATAGATTAAAGTCATTGATCAACATCATAGAATAAGTCTGCTGGTTGCCTCCACAATGAGGAAAGAGAAATTTGCATTTCTTATTTCTAGGACAATAATTGTCCTGCTATCAGAATGCTGTCGCATGCCTGGTACTGATTTATAATGCTGAAGCAATGTGACTCTTCGGCAGCTTCTCTGCAGAGCAGAGGGTAGCCTGCCATGTGTCCACCTTTGGAGGGAAGTGAATGCCACCAAGTTGGCCATGATTTATGGCCCAGAGTCAATGCTGTGTTTCTGAAAAACTGCATATTGGAAACAGCAAGGGGGGAGAGGTCAAAGAAGCTGGTGTTCAGTGAGGGGATGTGGCCACTGTTACACTTGGAATGCATGATCTGCACACCTAGTAAGGACTATCAAAAACACAGCAGTTAGGGAGAGGCTTCAGGCCACACGTGGGCTACCCAAATGCAATGTGCAGAGAGGAAACTTCAAACACAGGGCCACTGAGAACCATGCAATTGAACAGACCGGAGCATCAACTGATCCTTTAATTGCTGCAGCTGTGTTCTATGCAGGAATCCACACCCCTTAGGAAATGGTCATGCTATAGATGCATTTGTCACTATGCTACTTTCTGTGTATATCTCTGACCAGCTTTGCCTTTAGACCTGGTTTCACTATTAAATGGGAAAAAATGAGGTGTTCCTCATACCTAACAGTAGAGACACAGTAGAAAGTGAACAGAGCCTTCCAGTATCTGAATCCTAGCCACATGGCTTCCTCTGCTGTGTAATCTTGGGTACATTCAAAAAGTTTTGGTGCCCCCATTTATATGTACAGCAAAGATTCATGTAATTATTAGAAAAGAAAGTAAAGGAAAGAGCACATTCCAACTACTTTCGTTTCAGGATTAGCAGTTATTTCAACAGTTTCAATCCTAAAGAGCCAGGGACATATCTCATTTCTCTGTTGTTTCTTCTGGAACACTTATTTGCAGCAGAGTGACCACCAAAGAGTGGACAGTCCATCAGTATTAGCATGGAGGGTGACCAGGAAGCAGGCAGTAGAAGGAGCACACAGCCACACCTATTCGGCAGATCACTGCTAGCTTTTCTGTGACCATCATGGATCTTACCACGAAGCTGGGATGGGATTCTTTATTTCACCTGTTCTATGATTCAGAACATTGGTTGATTCAAAGAAATTGATACTGTTGTTTATCAGACTAAGATTGACAACATGAATCATCTTAGTAAAGCAGGACTAGAAGATAAGAAAGAAGTAATCACTTAAATAAGCACATGACAGTATTACGTAGTCAAAGAAGAATACATTCGAAGTCCAGCTTCAATAATCTGTGAACTTTTGAGTAAGCCCAGGTAACTTCTCACCAAGTCTGTGTCCTACCTAAAAATATTATAGCCCTTTTACAATCATGTAATAATATAGGTAACAAAAGTAGATGCTAAATATAGGGTAGTATTGATATCTGTTGTTATTGTTAATATCATTATCTTGATGACTAATTGTCAAGAATCAATCTAAACATTTTGTGTACATTAGACTTCCACCTGATTGTCACTGACTCTCAACTATGATATATTATTCTCTGTCAGCAACATTTCCTAAATCTTCATGGCAATCTCCCAACCTTCCATCCATCTATCCACCCATTTATCAAAAAATTATTAAACTCCTACATTATCCTGGGGGTGTTATCAGAGCTGGATGCCATGGCATCCAACACTAATAATAATATCAGACTTCCTCAAGTGCTTACTATGTGCCAGGCACTGTGCTGAGTGCTTTGTACCTGCTAACTCATTTAGTCCTAAAGCAACCCTATGAGTTCTATTCTAGTTTTATTAAAACTTTATAAATAAGGCAACGAAAGTCCATTAAGTTAAATAGCATTCCCAGTGTCACAGAGCTGACCAGCGTTGGTGCCAGAATTATAATGCAGGAGGCACCTGGACTAACACATCTGTGTTCTTAACCACTACACGTATTCTCATGAACCTACAGTCTGGAGAAAACAAGCAATAAACAAGTTAACAAATGTATACCTAATGCAATTTCAGTGACCATTAAATCTTAGTAGAAAATAATGGAAGAGAATAGTCTATGAATAAGGAGTAGTTGCCTAAAAATCTGAATAACAAAAAGTAAAAACGTGTGTGGATCAAATGGGAGAGTTCCCTAGGCAGCATAAACCATCGGTGCATCAGTGTATTTGACACAATGAGAGGGCCAGTGTGAATATCATGGTCCAATTAGCTTTGCTGCAGAGGTAAAAACAACCCCAAATCTCCGAGGCTTACAGAATGTAACGTGGATTCCCTGCTAATGTTACATTTTGTTGGCTGCCCCGTATTGTGGGAGAAGGAAAAGAGCACAAATCACCAGAACCATAAAACGTCTCATGAAACCTCTGCTGTGACATGGTTGTCATCACATCTGCTCCCTTTCTGCTGGTCCAAGAATGTCTAGTGGCCAAACCTAACGAAGGGGTGGGCCGAGGCTTCAGGCTAAGCCATGTGGCCGCAGCAGAGGTGAGGTTCTAGTGGGCCAGTTCCTATTCTCAGACACAGCAGAGATTGTCTCTGGGTTTGGAAAGAACGGATCCTAGTGTAACAGACAAGTCTTCCTCAAGCATTGGAAAAGCCAGAGGCCTGACACTAGGCTGTGTTGATACCTGTCTGTAGGAGTTTTCAAACCTGGGTCCCCAAACAAAAGGCACTCCTTAGCTTTCTCTGGTGTCCAAAGACTGAGAGAGGTGGTTCTCTGATAAAGAGAGTTCTGGCTACCTGTGAATTGTGGAGGAAGCAGGGTGAGAAAGGGTAAGAATATGCTGTAAATACAAGGCTACCTTTCTCTGCACTTGAATTCTAGCCCTGGTATTGCAGAAAAATTACTTAACATTGGTGAGGTTCATACATTTTATCCATAGAATGGGGACATCAAAGCAACCTCAGTGATGATTGTTTTAACAGGCACTAGGAATGACAATACTATTTGTATTAGTTTGGTGGGGCTGTAATAACAAAATACCACAGACTGCATGGCTTCAGCAACAGACATTTATTCATTCACAGTCTGGAGGCTGGAAGTCCAAGATCAAGGTGTTGGCAGAGCTCATTTCTTCTGAGGCCTCTCTTCTTGGCTCGCAGATGGCCATCTTTTCTCTGTGTTCTCATATGAGCTTTTCTTTGTGCACATTCTTAGTGTCTGTTTTTGTGTATGCATTTTCTTTTCTTATAAGAAAACCCATCAGATTGAATTAGAGTCCCCATTTTAATGGCCTCATATAGTCACATTCTGAGATACTTGGGGTTAGGACTTCAACTTGTGAATTTTGGGGAGACACAGTCCAGTTCATAACATTAGGAACACAAAAAATGATCAGTAGATTTTCCTTTCTGATTATAGGATTCTCCTTTCTCTGATGTCAGATTTTTTTCTTTCTCTAAGAGAGGTAGAGCATTAGGGTGTGTGATTTGATCTTACAGAAGTTTAAGGAAGTATAAAGATAAATGATTCAGGGTAAGTTGCATTTTTCCCATGTTGTGGTTTTCCAGGCATACCCACCAGTCTAGACTTTATCACAAGTGGCACTGGCTGTGTGGTGGTCTCTCATTACATCATGAAGAAAATGGGTCTCTCACCTTTCCACTATCAGGGAATCCTGGGGTTAGCATAGCTTTCATGTAAATCAAAACAGTGAAAAAGAGGCCCAGAGAAAGAGAGGCCCAAGAAGAGAACTCTTCTTGTAATAAAATGCAGGATTCCCTAATAGAAACCTGAGAGGATACCAGCAGTGATCACATTAGAAACTCACCAGGCTCACCTCTAATATGAACTTTAAATTTTCTTAACATCCTAGCATCTGGCCAAGGGTTGTCGCAGCCCCTGCAGATACAGAAACCTCAGCAGAAAGGACATCAGAAAGGACAAAATTGCCACTGAGTAAAGAAAACTGCTCTGCTTTGGAGAAAGACAAAACGTTATAAAAAGAAGAGGTTCAAATGGATTTCTCCCCTAAGGCTTTAAGAGACTTGAAAATGAAAGCTAGTAGAATTATCAGGTGAGGGGGACAGAGACTATTGATCTAGAGAAGAGAGAAGGAGAAAAAACACCCATTGAAGTCACATTAAAGAAAAAAAAAAAAAACACTGGTATAAGACAAGAGAGCAGGCAATTTTAGAAGTCCAGAGAAAGAAGGAAGATAATAAAAGATAATGAATGTCTTTTGCATCACAGAGAAGAGGAATATTTAAAAAAAACAGTAGAGTAAAAAGTGGTGAAGAGAAATGTAGATGCTTATAGCAGAACACTCTTCCTTATTCGTGGTGATACAGCTGGCCAGAGAGATGTTTCCATGTGCTGATGAAATCCTAGTTATCAATAGTAAAACAGACAGCCATCAAAACTCTGGTCTATACTATGTGACACATCTTGAATTGTCTGCCCACATTCAGTTTTATTTCCTTACTTAAATATTGATAATTCTGTTATCTATTCAACACATTTTTTGGGAAGAGTCTATTTTGTGCTAGGCAGTGTGTGATGGAACCATAACAATATGTAAGTTATCAGAGTAACAGGATTAAAAGACGTAGAGACTGCTGTGCATTGACACAGAATCATAACTGAGTCATCAAGTCTATACTATATTTTGAGCATTGTTACATTTACCTTATAGTATAATCTGATTTTTACACAAAAGCACATGAAATAGGTAAATATTTTGACCCCATTACACAGATGAGAAAAGAAGAGGCTATGTAATTTGCCCAAGGTCATGTGGTTAATATCAGAGCTAGGATTTGAAATAATGCAGTTTTGCTCCTGAATCCACACTCCAATCTGCACTCTGCAATCCCCCATGCCACACCATCTATGAAAGGACACAGAGGTGGAACTTTAGACTCAGAATTCTCAATAATAGCATAAGAAATGTTAGTTACTTTATTTACTATTCTTCATGACCTGACGGAACATGTGGCATTCAATATAGGCTAGATCTTAACATCAGATAGCCCAACCTGGAGTGCAAAGCCAAAACACTTTTTCTCAATGAGGAGGTTAAGTAGATCAGAAAAATCTGACTTCATTCTAAATATGTAAAAAATGAATGCAAAACAATTATTTAAAACAACGTATCTGAGCACTAAAGCAAAAAATAAATAAATAAAAAGAAATGCTCAATGCTACATGAAATGGAAACTCAAATCTAAAATAATGATCAGAAAGTGGAACTTAGCTGTGCACAGAAGTAAGAGGACCAAATGTATCCTAGAAGCTGAAGTTTTGGTGCCTAATAAATACCAACCATGTATAAGCCAGAGATGGAACCAAGTTCCCTTCTTAAAGGTAGGAACCTGGATATGACATTTAATTATTGAAGGGAGACACAAAAAATCTACCCTGGCCAAGTGCAGCGGCTCACACTTGTAATCCAAGCTCTTTAGGGGGCTGAGGCAAGAGGATTCTTTGAGCCTAGGAGTTTGAGACCAGCCTGGGCAACATAGTGAGACCCCATCTTTACAAAACAAAATAAAAACATATTAGATGGATATGGTGGTGTGGGCCTGTAGTCCCAGCTACTTTGGAGTCTGAGGCAGGAGAATTGCTTGAGCCCAGGAGTGGGAGGCTGCAGTGAGCTGTGATGGCAGCACTGCACACTAGCCTGGGTGACAGAATAAGAAGCACTGTTTCTAAAGAAAAAAGAAAAAAACCCAACACACACAAAAAAACACCCACAACTTGGGAACTCAGCAGGAAAATAAGCAACCTGCCCAGAGCATGAACAATGCACTATATGTGTGTTTACCAGAAGAAGATAGGTCAAGTTTGCATCCTGTTAGGAGGAGAAATTGGCATAAAAATTGTCCCCACGTTTGCCAAATGTTTAGGGTTCCAGCACAGGCAAAAATGAAATCTTAGAGTCATTTCTCTAAACCTTCCACTCAAAGAGCAGGGATTGTACTTTCTTTTCAAGAATAAATGAAACATTTTCAAAACTAAGCATACATTAGGTCATAAAAGAAATAAAAATAAAAATTTATAGCAAAAAATCATTAAATATTAACAAAACACACCTCTAGATTATAACAGGTTAAACCAAAAATGAAAACAAAGCTTTTAAAGATGTTCTCTGGCAAAAAGATGTTGGAATAGGACTTTCTAGTGCCCATCTCCTTACAGAAACATCAATTTGAACAACTGTCCACATCCGAAAATACCTTTGCAAAAGGCAAGGAATCCAGGTGAGTGGTTAAAGCACCTGGGTGGAGCACAGGAATAAGATTCATTGAAGAGGGTAGGAAAGAGTTTCATAAGGCCTGTATCACCTGCTCCCCAATCCCAGTGTGAAGAGAGACACTCTCTGCTTAGGGAAAAAAGAGGGAAGTAAGCACTATACTTCTCCAGGGATCCCAGCTCCAGGACCACCCCAGTCAACCCTGGTACTAGGCCAGCCCCAGTGGTCCCAAGCTCCAGGCAGGCATCTGTGGACTCAGCCTCCAGGCCCACACTAGCACCAGGCCAGCCCCTGCAGACTTAGGCCCCAGGCCTGTACCAGTGCCAGGCTGCCCCAGTAGCAGGTTGACCCTCAAATCCCCAGGCTCCAGGCACACCAAAGCCAGAATAGCCCCTCTGGCCCCAGGACCTAGGCTTGCCTGTGCAGACCCAAGCTCCAGGCTCAGCTCTGTGAACCCAGTCTCCATGCCCACCTTAGCATCAGGCCAGATGCTGTGGCTGCAGGCACAAGATCAGCAGCCATAAAACCAGGCATCAGGCCAGCCCCTGAGGCCCTAGGCTCTGGTGGGCCCAGGGTTCAGGCCCACTCCAGCAGATTCAAGGTAAAGGCCTATTCCAGTATATCTCAGTGCTGGGCCAGTCCCTGTGAATCAGGCTTCAGAACCACCTCTACAGATCTAGGCCAGCACCTGAGAACACAGGACACAAGCCTGTTCCTGTGGACTCAGGTTTCTGGCCCTCCCCAGCACCAAGCTGGCTTTGCAGACCCAGAATTCAGGACCATCCCCCAGACCCAGGTGCCAAGGCCACCCTGGCACCTAGTAAGCCCCTGCAGAACCAGGATCCAGGACTGACCTTAACAACCCAAGATCCAGGCCCACCACTTTGCACTCAGGCTCCAGTCCTATCTTGGTGGACCCAGGCACCAGGCCCACCCACCTGCTCACCCAGGAACCAGGCCAGCCTGCCCAAAGACTCCAGCAGCAACCACCAGCCAGCCCACCCAGAATCTCTGGATTAGTTGACCAATGAAGTGCTTTCCTTGCCAAATCCAATCTATAAAGGCTAGAAGAGATGCCTACTTCTTCTTCACTAGCCAGTAACAAGCATACACCCTGTTCCCTTAATGGTGTAGCAGAAACTACATGAGGAATCCGTCCTTTCACCCCAACCAGAAATATACTCCTTCCTATTTCTGTTATTGAGCTTTCAGAAGAGTCCTGTTGGAGAGTCAGGACGTTCATCATTGCTAGCAGTAAGAAGCTCCCACCCCTTATAGTGTCAGTGGAGACCATGTGGGGAGCTAGAACTCCCATCCCTATCAAGAAGTAAGGAAAAGTCCCCTGATTTCCTGTTTATGGAGGCTGAGTAGGGTGCCTGGACTTCAGCTTCCACCTGGCATTAATGAAGTGACCTACTTTCTTTTCCTGTTGGGCTGACATCAAGGAAATGCAGCTAAAGTAGAAATCTTACATATGATTCACAGTCTCATATAACATAAAACAAAATGTCCAGGTTTCAATCAAGTATCATTCGTCATATTAAATATCAGGAAGATCTTAGACTTAATGAAAAAAAGAAATACAGAGATGTCAACAATGAGATGACAGAACTGTAAGAATAATCTGGTGACGATTTTTGAAGAAATCATGCTAAAATTGCTTAAGTGAGCAATATAAATACATTTGAAACAAATGAAAAACAGAAAGCCCAACAGAAAGAGTGTAGAAGGTGGTTACCAAGGGTAGGAAAATAAGAGAAATGGGAGATGTATATTAAAGGGCACAAAGTTGCAGTTATGTGGGACAAATAAGTCTGGAGAGTCAATGAACAGTATAAAGACTAAAGTTAATAATATTGTATTGTATACTGTAAATTTGCTAAAAGAGTAGATTTAAGGCTGGGTGCAGTGGCTCACACCTGTAATCCCAGCAATTTGGGGGGCCGAGGCGGGCGGATCATGAGGTCAGAAGATCGAGACCATCTTGGCTAACATGGTGAAACCCTGTCTCTACTAAAAATACAAAAAATTAGCCGGGCATTGTGGTGGGCACCTGTAGTCCCAGCTACTCTGGAGGCTGAGGCAGGAGAATGGTGTGAATCGGACCAGGAGGCAGAGCTTGCAGTGAGCCAAGATCTTGCCACTGCACTCCAGCCTGGGAGACAGAGCAAGACTCTGTCTCCCAAAAAAAAAAAAAAAAAAAAAAAAAAAGATTTAAGGTGGTTTCACCATAATTGTGTGAGATGATGGGTATGTTATTTGGCATGACTGTCATAATCATATTCCTAGGTATATAAAAAATCACTTGTACACCTTAAATATATTTAATAAAAGCCACTGAATTACCAAAAAGTTATAGTTACATCAAAATGGAATTTTAAAAAAGTTCAAGTAACCCGCAGAAAACGAGAAAATAAAATGGAGAAATAAAGACAGAATAAAAAGAAAGCAGAAAATTAAATAGCAAACTTCTGGTTTTCAGTCCAGTATGTAAGGAGTTCAAAAGTGGTTACCAGAGGCTGGTAAGGATGGGGAAAGAGGGAGATGAAGAGAGGCTGATTATAAACATGCAGTTAGATAAAAGCAGTAAAACCCAGTGTTCAATAGATCAGTAGGGTGACTATAGTTTATTGTAATCTATTTTATATTTTGAAATAGCTAGAAGAGAGTAATTTGAATGTTTCTAGCGTAAAAAAGACAAATATTTAAGGCAATGGGTTTTTCAATTACACTGAATTACAAATTATATGAACATATGAAATTATCACATGTACCTTCCAAATATGTACATCCATTATATATCAATTTTACAAAATTTAAAAACTGAAAAATCATCAGCTCTTCTTAGGTCCAGAAAAAAAGTGAGACCAATAAAATCAATAAGTCTACAGCCAGACTAAGAAAAAAAGAGAAGACAAATTAAAATAATCAGAAATGAAAGAGGAGGCATTATTACAGACACGATGGACATTAAAATAATAATAAAGGAATATTTTATACAATTATATGCTCACCAGTTAGATAAACTAAATGAAATGGACCAACTCCTTGAAAGATACAATCTGCCAAAACTCAGATAAGAACAAATAAACAATTCTAGTAGGCCTATAACTATTAATAACCTTCAGCCACAGAGTACACACCAGGCTCACATGGGATTACTGGGAATTCTACCAAACATTTAAGAAAGCCTTTTTACCAATTCTCCATAACATTTCCCAGAACATAGAAGCAGAGGGCTACTTCCTAACTGAATCTGTGTGGTTCACATTACCCTAACACTAAAACCAAAGACATTACAAGAAAAGAAAACTACAGACCAATGTCGCTCATGAACATAGATACAAAAATCCTCATCAAAATATTAGCAAACTGAATACTTTAAGCTATAAAAAGTGTACACACCATGACTCGGTGTGATTTATCCAGGTATGTAAGGCTGGTTCAACATTAGAAAAATCAATTAGCATAATTAATGTAATCCATCATATCAGCAGACTAAAGAATAATCATGCTCATATCACTAGATGAAAAACATTTGACAAAATCCAAAATGCATTCATGATAAAAAACTCTCATCTAACTAGGAATAGATAGGAACTTCATCAACTTGATAAACATCTACAAAAACCCCACAGTTAACATCATACTTAATGTTAAGAAACTGGAAGCTTTACTGCTAAGATCAGAACAAGGCAAAGATGTCCCTCTCACCAGTGGATTTCAAAGTCATGCTAAAAATCCTGACTAATGCCTAAGACAAGAAAGGTAAATAAAGGCTTTCAGATTGGGAAAAATAACATAAAACTGTTTTTATTAACAGATGACATACATTAAAATGTGTATAGAAAATGATCATCTGTACAGAAAATCCAAAAGAACTGACAAAAAATAAACAAACAACAAATTTCTGGTACTAATAAGCAGTTATAGTAAGATTGCAGGATACCAGGGTAATATACAAAATGTTAATTATTTCCCTGTACACCAATGATAAATGAATAGAATTTGAAAGTAAAAACACATTACCATTTAGATCAGCATCCCTAAACATTAAATACTTAGGTATAAATCTAACAAAATATTATAGGATTTACATGAGAAAAACTAAAAAATCTGATATCTGATAAAAGGTATCAAAGAAGAACCAAATATATGGGATGAAATTCTATGTTTATGGATAGGTAGACTCATTATGGTCAATATGTCAGTCTTTCCAACTTGATTTATAGATTCAATACAGTTCCAACCAAAATCCCATCAAGCTATTTTGTGGATGTTGACAGTGGATTCTAAAGTTTAAACAGAGGCAAAATATACAGAATAATCAACTCAATACTGAAGAATAACAAAGTTTGAGGGCTGATGCTACTCTACATCAAGAGTTTTTATAAAGCTACAGTAATTAAGGTGGTGTTATTGTTGAACAACTAGACAAATAGATCAATAGAACAGAATAGAGCCTAGAAATAGACCCACATAATGTAGGGTCTAAACTTTGACAAAGAAACAAAGACAGTACAATCGAGCAAAGATACTGTTTTCAATAAATGGTACCAGAATATCTGTACACCACACTCCAGAAAAAAATCTAGACACAAATGTACATTCTTCATAAAAATGAATTCATAAAGTGTTATAGACCTACATGTAAAATTTGAAACTATAAAACTCCTGGGAAATAACAGGACAAACCCTACAAGTCCGAGGGTATGGTGATACATTTTTAGATATAACACCAAAGGTATGATCTATGGAAGAAAGATTTGATAAGCTGGACTTCATTAAATTTTTTGGAAGTCCCCTCTGTGAAGGACAAAGTCAAGAGAATTAGAAGACAAGTCATCAACAGAGAAAATATTTGCAAAAGACACATCTGATAAAGAACTGTTATCCAAAATACACAAAGAACTCTTAAAACTCAACAATAAGAGACTTCTAGTTCCAAAATGGCAGCATAGAAGCTAGCTGACTTCCTTTTTCCTTCAAGAAAATTATAAAGAAACACACAATGCCAAGATGATCACCAGTATTTTCCCAGAGAAGGCCTCACTGATAATGTGATATGTAAGGAAATGCAACAAAGAGGAGAGAGAATGAGATGTAGATTTGGGGGAAATAATTTTCTAGACTGAGGGAATGGCCAGGACAAAGGCCCTAAGTCAGGAACATAGCTGGTATATTCAAGAATCTTTAGAAGATCTCATGTGGCTAAGAAGAATAGAGAAGTAGTGGTGTTCTTTAGGATATTTATGATTTTTTTGTTTGTTTTATAAAAATGCTGCAATGGACATATCTTTGTATGTTTTCTCTTTAAAAAAGGACTGTCTTTTTTTTTTTAAGAAAGGTGAATCTGTAGAATTAAAGTTCCTGAGTTTCAAGGTGTGCACATTTAAAATGTTGATACATATTCACAAACTGGCCCTCCAGAATGAATGTAACAATTTTACTCACTGTCACTGTTTTCCTATCTTTGTCATTACAGAATAATATCAATTTTCTCATTTTTTCCAAAAATAAGAATCACGATGATAACAACAACAGTTGGCATTTGTTAAGCACAGATTATATGCCAGGCAAGTCAACAGGGGCATTATGAATATTAACGAAGTCCTTACATAAATACTATATGTTATCAGTGTTATTTCCCCAGTTCATATCTATAAAGACATTGAGTCATAGCAAGGAGTGAGTCAGTATAACTCCAGAGCCTGGACCATT
This sequence comes from Homo sapiens, assembly GCF_000001405.40. NCBI lineage: Eukaryota > Metazoa > Chordata > Mammalia > Primates > Hominidae > Homo > Homo sapiens. Next base: position 83,652,325 of record NC_000010.11, on the reverse strand, counting down.
AACTAATTAGCTATAATCAATTTAACAGGTAAAACAATTTCCTATTTGAATTTGTTTCTTGGGTTATTAGTGAGATTATATGAACACATTTGTAATATTTCAGTCGAATATTTGAAGCTTTTAATAAATGACACTTTCAAGACATTTCTCATTAAGATGTTTTGTTCATTTTATACTGACTTCTAAGCTCTATACTATTTTGATGATATTAAATGGTACAAATATGAAATCCTAGTTGTTCATTTGCCTTTTAAGTTTGTTACAATATTCTTTGTTAAAGAGGAATATTGTTTAATATAACAAATTATACATTTTCTATCGAAAGTTATTTTATGGTCAATATTGGTAGATATGTGCCTTTACAAATGAAACAAAAGGCAGTATTTAAAAATTTCTGGTAAATAGAATTAAGGATATAAATAAAATTAAAACTAATACAGAGTATTATTATTGTACACCAGGAAAATTCAAAAGGATTAATTCAAAATAATTTGTTAACTTAAAGATGCTTTCATTGAGATAAAAAATACATGAGTATACAAAACTGCTATGTCCAGCTTTTACCCGTAATGACTCTCAAATATCCAACAGCCAGATCACCACCCCAGAAGTTTCCTTCCCAGTAACTTCCCAGTAAATGCCCTTCCCAGTAAATGCCATCCTCTTTTTAATTGTATCACCATTAGATTAGTTCTGCAGGTTGTGTGTATATGTGTTTTAATTAGGTATAACTTTCATATAGCAAAATGGACAAAAATGTATAGCTTATATGCATACACCCATGTAAACATTATTCAACTCAAGATACAGAACATTTCCATCTACCCAGAAATCTCCTTTTGTCCCTTCTCAGTCAAGACTTCTTTGCAGATAACCAATATTTTGATTTCTATCGGCCTAGATTAGTTTTGCCTGTTTTTGACCTTCATGTGAGTAGACTCATAAAGGATCTTTTATTATTCAGCATCTTTCACTCAACATGTAGTTGAGTGATAACTAGTTACTTCTCTTTGTCAATTGCAGTATTCCATTGTATGAATATGCTAATTATTTATTTCTCTTTTGATTTACATTTGAATCGTTTCCAGTTTTGTACTATTACAAATACCGCTGCTATGAGCATTTGTAATAGTAAGTTCATGGGGTTGGATTCCACCAATCTAGTAGGGATTTAGCTTAATTAAAATGTTTGATTTGCATTCAAGTTTATGACTTTAATAAAGGAGCCAAAATAAAATAGATATAACAAAGATAAAAGCATCCCATTAAACCAGCAACAACAATAATGAAGATTCCATTTATAATAAAATTAAATTATCTAAAATAATTAGGGCTAAACCTAATATGAGGTACACTAGATCTTTGTAAATGGAACTATAACATTTTATTGGGATAAATAAAGAGGCAGAATTGATGGAGACAAACCACATACTTGAATATTTCAGCTAAATATTATATAAATGTTTAATATTTCTAATTTACCTTATAAAATTAGCACAACTGCAACTTAAATCCCAATATAGTTTTGAATTAAATAATTCTAAAATTAATTTGGGACAAAAGTAATGAGAGATAAAGAAGGGTATTTTATCAATAATAGTGACAATTGAAGGAGGCCGATGTTACTGAATCTGAAATGTATAAAACAGTGGTAGAAAACTGAGAATTGATTTAAAAAAAACCAAAATTCTTGATACATGATAAGGTAAGCCTTTCCAAAATTGATTAAGAAAGGGATATTTAACAAACAATATTGCTTATACCTTTGGAAATTGAACAGGTTGGTCCTCCGTTTTAGCTGATAATTGGTCTCTACCTGGTAAACAAATGGTATTTACAAAGATCCATGAAGATGATGAGGCTGATGGGGTTTACAATGAAATTATCTATTTTTGCTCCACGATTCTGAAGTACCAACTGTAAAAAGCAGATCCGTTGGATAGATTCATTAGAAGCAGGAGAATCTTGATAAATATAGCACCATGAAGTTGCTACATATATTAATCAGGATAGATTATGCTACAGGAACAAAACCACATATTTGGGTGGCTTGATGCAATAACAGCTTTCTTCCCTTGTACTCAAACTCTGCTGCAGGTCTGAGAGGCATTCCAGAGTTTCTGTCTTTCACATGGTACATACATTTCAAGATGCTTTGATCTTGCAGCGTCTCCGTCTAAACACAAGCTTCTGCAATCCCTGCCGCAGAGAAAAGGAACATGAAAAAAAATACACCAGCTAGTACCTGCCTAGGCTCACATTTCATTGGCCAGAAGTACTTATGTGACTTTGCTTCATTTTGTTTGTTTTCTATCATCCTATCACCCGGTATGTGGCCAGGAGAAGACAATTGGGTATTGATGAAAATTCCAGCACACTGGCCTACCAAATAAAGGGATACTGTACTAAACGCATGCTTCTTGACTTTGTTCTTTCCAGACTTTGCGTTATAATGCCAGAGCTAAGATGGAGCCCTGTGGCTTCAATGGGAAGATCTTCCATCTTTGTCTATAGCTCCACAGAGTCTCCTCAGGGATTTGTAAAACCATTCATCTTCTCTCCGCTGAGGAAGAGAAAAGCCTTCCATGGCTTACAGAAATCTTCTGATGATATTCTAATCTGCAGCGAGAGGTCGATCTCAGGTTTTTATGAACACTTGATAAAAGTTTTCCTGAGTGAGTGCCTCAGAGCAGGCTTAGAGATCAGAAAGAATCAGCCATAGAGGGTGGATGGATACATTCCCAAGAGGAATTGGCTGTCAGTCTCTGGGCCATAAAATTTTATGGTGCTTAGCATGAGTTAAATGTATCACAAAAATATAGCCCAAAAAGAACACTGATTCCTGCAGACTATGCCAGCTCAAAACAACATTATCTTTTAGGGTGTCTTCTATGCTTCCAAGTTAATGCATATGAAACAACTCTTTTTTTCTGTCACTCAACAAGAATACACACAGATACGGAAGTCTTCTGATCCTAGGGGATGTGTTCCAAAGTCCCAGTTGATGCCTGAAATCACAGATAGCACCAAGCCATATATATGTTATACTTTTGTTTTATACATACATACTTATGATGAAGTTTAATTTATTAATTAGGCACATTAAGAGATTAACAGTATCTGTTAATAAAACGGAACAACTATAACAATATGCTGTAATAAAATGAGCATGTGGTCTGTGTCTCTCTGAAATTATCTGATTACACAGTACTTATCCTTCTTCTTGTAATGATGTGAGATGATATAATGCCTATGTGATGAGATGAAGGGAGGTGAATGATGTAGGTATTATGATGTAAATAAAAGAATTCTGGAAATAGAGAATTTATAAGTTTTAAATTGTGCACCCTTCTGAGTAGCATAATGAAATATGACACCAACACCATCCTGTCTGTCCTGCCTGGATTGCTGTTAGTCACTTAGTAACCGTCTCAGTTATCAGATCAATGGTGGCAGTATCACAGTGCTTGTTCAAGTAACACGTATTTTACCTAATAATGGCCCCAAAGTTCAATGGTAGTGATGTAATATTTTCCATTCTTTGTTGACCACCAGTAACTAAAACTGTGGAAAATAAAACTATGAATAAGGGAGACTATTGTATATCTTATTTATTTGCTGAAATTTTTTTATTTTGTCCATACATTCTGAAGACAAATTGGCTCGAGACTATTGTATATCTTATTTATTTGCTGAAATTTTTTTTATTTTGTCCATACATTCTGAAGACAAATTGGCTCATGAATGAAATCTAACAGTAGTATCTAAACTTTTAGATCCCTTATTACATAAAAATGTATTACATATAAATGTATGTATTAAATACAGTACAGCTGAAAATTAGCCAAATATAGACATAAGATAGTTATGTGCAGAAGGAATTAAGCCTTAATGCCAGTTATATCATGCTCTGATTCTAAGGAACTCTCAGTGTCTCACTTCCTTCCTCCGTATAACTAACAGGCAAAGTGAGAAAGATACTTTAGCTGAAGTGATTTTATTTAAGATCCACTTCAGCTAATCCTTAAAGACATAGACAGACTTTAGAATTTGGTAGATAGAACTAAGTTTGAATTCAAGCTCTGCTTATTACTAATCAAGGAATAATCATGGGACCTTGAGAAAATTATTTGACTTGTCCAAATGAGTTTCATTATTAGTAAAACAGGGATAACAATACCTCCTTCATAAGACTATTTGAAGAGAAATAAAATAATGCATTCCATGGTACCACAGAGATCCTGGAAAATGGGAGGTTTTTAATACATATTTGTTCCCTTCTCTTTAATAAGATATATGTAATGGGGGCTTTTATATATTGCTGTTCCATTTATGTTTGGTATCTGATCTTCTATGTTTAAGCCAATAAAGCTATTATAAGAATTCTTATGAAATGTACTTTGTGTATGAATGTATACAAATAAACACATGCATACACACACAGACAGACATATGTGATTCCTTGATTCTCATTTTTCTCCTAATTTTCCAAATTCAGCTTTGTGCAATTTATTTAACTGATTGCTCTGATAGTTTAGTGCTATGTAACAGATCACTGTAAAACTTAGTGGCCTGAAATAGGATGTAGTAAACTATTGCTCATGGCCCAAATCCAGCCTACATCCTGTTTTTGTGTGTCAATATGCTAGGAATATTTTGTTGTTTTTTTACTATTCTTGAACTTTTGTAAAAAAAAAAAAATACAACAGAGCCAGCATGTGGCCTGCAAAGCTTGGAAAATTTGCTATTTGGCCTTTGCAGGGAAAGTTTGTTAATCCTTGGCTTACAACAACAATGAACATTTATTTTGTTCACAAATTGGCAACTTGGGTATGGCTTGGTGGGGAAAGCTCATTGCTTCTCCACTTAATGTCAGTGGGGAAGGTTTGACTGAAGCTAGAGGATCTGCTTCCAGGATGGCTCATGCACATGACTGGTGAGTTGGTGCTGGCTATTGACTGGGATCCCTGCTGTGCTGGAGGGCCAGGGACTTTAGTTGGTCTCCATATGGTCTGGACTTCATAGCATAGTGGCTGGATTCTAAGGGCAAGCGTTCTGAGAGCCAGGCAGGAGCTGTATTGAATTTGTGATCTAGCTTCAATGGTCACACAGGTTCAGTTTCTCCATAAGCTATAAGTCAAGCAGGCACAAAGGCCCACCAGCAGATGGTCCCAGTCTATTACCAGATGCCTAGTTGCAGATGCATACAGGCAATAGTTACATAGGAACTCACTTCCCATCATCACCTACGCATCATCCCCTCATCATCCCCCACTGGCAGCTGGTCACATGTGGCTTCTTTGATTCTCTCAGGCTCTAACTTACCTCCTCACATCAATGCTTCAGGAGGACTGATTCATGTCTTATTCCTCTGATCCCTCAACTCTGCCTTCTAGACTATCATTGCCCCACCTCCTCTCAAAATTTTGTAAGATCTAATTCCTATGATAGTTCTCTTATCCCATAGCACTTATAGTGGCTTTGATTCTCTGATCTCTACTTGATTCATTTATTAGTAGCAGAAGGCGTTTGAGAGAGACAGAACCTTTGTAAACCAAAAATAAAATTCTAAGCCCCCCAACTGACAGAATGTACCCCTCCCCCTCAGCCAACGGGGGGATTTCTTTCAGGATTCCAAAGAAACCTGAAAAATTAATTCAGACCATGATGGGAAGATGGCCTGAGACAAGTTTCATTATACCCTCTCCTTTTTGTTTTTTAGATAAAACTGACCAGCATTAACATTGATCCTAAGACTGAGAGAACAGACTCTTTGTAGCAATAAGATACCAATTCCAACCTAACTCTGGAATAACATCACATGACAGGTAACATGCCCTAAAGGAAATCAAAGTATTTTACCCCAAAATATATTTATTTGACATATTTTAGAATAATCTTGCAAAGCCATCTCTTGTGGGGAAAATTTATATTCTATAGAGAACCCCTTTCTCTTTCCAGATCGTTTCCTGATGCAGGAAAGATTTAACTAAGAGTCTGATACCTTTTAAGCTCTGGTAAGTGACATTTACAATCTATTCTCTCTGAAGCCTGCTACCTGGAGGCTTCATCTGTGTAACAAGAATCTTGGCTACCACAACCCCCCTTATCTTAATCCCAAGCATTTCTTTCTGCTGACTTTAACTTTTTTGGCAAAGCTTAATTCTTTCAACCAATTGTCAGTCAGGAAATTTTTGCATCCACATATAACCTGGAAGCTCCTATTTTGAGATATCCTGTGTTTCTGGGCTGAACCAACGTATACCTTACATGTATTGATTTATGTCTTTTCCTGTAACTTCAGTCTCCCTAAAATGTATAAAATCAAGCTGTAAACAAACCATCTTGAGCACATGCTCTTAGGACCTCCTGAGGCTGTGTCACACACAGGTCGTGGTCCTCACATTTGGCTCAGAAAGCCTCTTGAAATGTTTTACAATGTTTGAGTTTTTTCATCAACATCTTAGAGATACAAATCTGGATTGGTTCTCTTTTCTGACTAGATCTAGAGGCATTAATAACCCTGATGCTGGTAGTAAATGCATTGGCAGCCCATGCCATGCTATGGCAAGCACTTATTTAAACTGTCATCTGTGGTCACCAGGAATTAAGTGTCAATAAAGCTTTGAATGGCCAAATATTTAATGCCATAGGACATTTTATGGAAATGGAGTATTGGAACTGTGGATTGTTTGTTTGCCTCTACATTACTGAAAAATGTGCTGAAAGAAAATTTTGAGCTCAAGACTTTTTAACTCAAGTTCTAGGCAGCAAACCAGAAAAAAAAAAAATGTCCTATCTCTATTAGCAACAGGATTGCAGTTTCTAAAAAGCACACACAAAGGTTAAACCTGTGGGTGGGTGGATTGCAATGTAAATGAATTCACAATCTTTGAAGGTCTCTTTTGGTAAAGTTAGGGCATTGATTATAAAGTATTGGGGCTCTGTCACCCAGGCTAGAGTGCAGTGTGCCATCACAGCTCACTGCAGCCTCAACTTCCTGGGCTTAAGCGATCCTCCCACCTTAGCCTCCTAAATATCTGAAACTACAGGTGTGTACCTCCACACCCAGGTAATTTTATTTTATGTAGAATCAGGGTCTCTCTTTGTCACCCAGGCTGGTTTCAAACTCCTGGTCTCAAGCAATCTTCCTGCCTCAGCCTTTCAAAGTGCTGGGATTACAGGTGTGAACATCTGCACCCAGCTTCTGGGCAGATTTTTATGCTAAGAACTTTGATCTTCCAAATATTGCTGAGCTGTCTTTGCCAATAGAAACAGCAGCCCCTCACCCCATCAACACTCCTTTGACAAGAAAGCAAATGGTCTCTTCTAAGTTTGTCTTAAAGGAAACTAGTGATATTTCTTAACACCTACGCCAAAGACTTCTACCAGAGGTCTTGCTCTTAGATTTATAAACAGGTTTAATTCCAAACAGATCCTGAGAGTCAAGAACAAAGTGTGACTCATAAGTGCATGCCATAATTTCCTCTGCCCAATGTTTCGCAAAATTTATCTAATTTATATTTATACAAATCTAAAGAAGGTGTCTGGAAAACAATTCTAAGGACATAGAGTAAAGGTAGAAGAAATGTAGTTATCATGGGATGAATTTGTTGACTTGGGTACTCTAAGCAGAGATTCTTAATTGATTGTATAAATTGATATTGGCTTTAAAAGTATGCTTTGTTAGTTGGCTGAAACATGAACTTAAAAGTGGCCTACAATTATTGAAGAGAAAATACGAAAATTTGCTTAGTCTAGTACAGACAAGTATCCAATTTAAAGGAAGTTGAAATGCTAGACTGAAATATTATGTTAGACCTGCTCATTTACTCCCTGTGTCTCACACGATGGTGTAGGAGACACTTTTTTCATCAAGACTTTAAAAGTACATTAGTGAGGTGAGTACTGTCATTCTTTTGCTTAATTTTTGTGGGTCTATAGTGGCTATTACCTAAGCCAAAAATGACAGTGGGAGATGTTGCTATTGAATTTGGCTTCCTGAATTCAATGAGGATGATGGTAACTCAGAGTGGCAGGGGTCAAATGGTTTCACATAAACACCAGAGACCTTACCTACAAAAGTATTAAGCAAACAAGTAGCAAAATTATGGACCTAGACTAAACATATATATAATTATATTAAGTGTAAATGTACTAAAAAGGCAAATAGAGAGAATTTTTCAGATAAGATTAAAAAAAAAGCAAAGTCCTTCAACAACATATTCTCAACAGAGGAGAGGAGATATGGTTTAATGATACAGGCCAGAAAAGTTCAAAGTAAAAGAGGAAAAAGATGCACTATAAAAATGTATGCATAATAAAATTTGAGTGGCTAGATTAATATTAAATGAAATAAACTTCAAAAAAGAAGTACTTTCAAACTTTAAAAAGATACTACACAATAATAAAAGAGGCAAGCTTCAGTCTAAGCACAGTGGCTCACACCTGTAATCCCAGCACTTTGGGAGGTTGAGGTGGAAGGATCACTTGAACCCAGGATTTTGAGGCTACAGTGAGCTATGATTGCACCACTGAACTCCAGCCTCGGTGACAGAGTGAGAATTTTCTCTTAAAAAAAAAAAAAAAAAGAAGAGGCAAACTTTAAATGCCTGAAGCAAAAATAGCAAAAGAGAAGAGAGATAAGTCTATACTTATTGTTGTTGATATTAACTCTCCTCTTTTAACACTGATTTAAATATTAAATAAAAAACATTAGGAATATATAAAATCTGTAAAAGAATATGAACAGCAACATCCCTTTCAAATACACATGGAACCTGCACAAAGAAAGTGATATAATGATGACTGAATTCATCTCAATAATTTTTAGAATTCAAAATCCTATGATTTCTTTTCTTATTCTAATATAATAAAACTTTTAAAAAAGTAAGAAACCCAGAAAAATTACATATTTTGTCATATTATTACCCTTCTAAATAACATGTGTATCAGAAAAGAAATATAAGAAAATTAAGACATATTTTGAACTCACTAAAAATAACGACACAATATTTAAAAATTGGTGGATATGAATAAAACAATGTTTAGAAGAAAATTCACAGACTAAAATGATTATCTTGGAAAAATAGAACTGTTTAAAATTAGCGAACTAAGTTTCCCCTTAAGAATATAGAAAAAAATGGGCAACTTAAACGTAAAATACAGAAAATGAAGTAAATAAGATGAAAGCAAAAAGATAAAATAGAAAATTCATGACAATAGAGAAAATTAAGAAAGTCCAAGCTGGTCTCTAGAAAAATTAATGCAATTGATATAACCCTAGCAAGACTAATCAAAAGAGAGAGACATGCATGTCTGCGCACACACACACACACACACACACACACACACACACTTAGACATACACAGAGAGCAATAGAAAGAGAGAGATAGAAGAGAGAGGAAGAGAAAGAGACAAAGACAGAATTATCAATATCAGAAATGAAAAAAGGGGCTACCATTAGAGATCCTACAGATATTACAAGTACAATAAGTGACTCCCACAAACAATTTTATGTTAAGATCCTAAAAATTTAGATGAAATAGCCAAATTCTGAAAACAAAAAGAAGGCACAGTCTATTAGGTATGCTAATCCCAGGAAGTTCAATTTAGTGGTTGCCCATCAATAAATGTATTTCCTCTTTGCAAAGATTACAACAGTAATGGATAATTGAAAAGACCTACAAATCCATAGAACATATCTATATAAAGCAAAAATTAGGGTACAGCCGAATAAAGAGGAGAAAAAGTGGGCAGAAGGGAAGAACAAGAGAAAGACTGGGCAGACAAGCAAGAGATTTCCAGGCACAGCTCCCTAGGGTCTTTCTTATTTGCACAGGGTTGTCCTTCACCTCTGGATTCAACCACTAAAAATTGAGCAGTAACACTTTGCTTCAGGAGAGTTCCCTAAATTTTCCAGCAGTTTTGGTGCCCCTCTGGCTATATGGCCAAAGAAGACTATCTATATGATTATGCCAAGTATAAATCATTCATGTATGCTGCCAGGGGAGTTTCAAATATTAAACATCACACGATAAACATTGTTTATCACACTGTCTATATCTTAGTCAAGAGTCAGTGCCAAACTTCCAAGCATCTATGCATGTAATTATATTATCCTAATCCAGCTGTAAACTCACTTTATCCTTTATACCCATATTAACATAATGAAGAAAAACAACATTATCTTATTAATGGAGGCATAGAAAGCATTTGGAGAATGACTTTTTATCCAAAATATATAAAGAATGTCTACGAATCAATAATTTGAAAACATGCAAAAAATTGCAGTGGACGTGAACATAAGCTTTCATAAAATATGAATAAATGCCCCAAATCACATTAAAAGGGATCAATACTGTTAGTTACGGAAAAATCCAAATTAAAACCACTGTAAGATAATACTTCCTACCACTATAATTTCTAAAATTTAATAAGCTGACAATCCCCAGTGTTGAATAATATGTGGAATAAATTGAACACCCACACATGTCACTGATTTAGGTCAGTAAAGTGATCCAATCACTTTAAAAAACTATGTGTTTTTTATAAGAGTAAATCTACATCTATCTGTTTACCTAGTAATTCTAGAAATTTATTCAAGAGAAATGAAGACCTATATCCACAAACAGACTTACATAAAAAAGTTTAAAGTAACTTTATTCATAATGATCAACTACTAAAGAGAAAATCCTAATGTCCATTAATGGTAGCTAAATAATAAACATAATTTTGCATAAACATTTTGCATAAACAATTTTTGCACAAAGAAATTATGATATATTGGTACTTGGAATACTTCTTAGCACTATGAAAGATTACACCCTTGATACATGCTATAACATTGATGAATCTACAAAATATTATGCCAAGTGAAAGAGGCTATACACTAAAAAATACATACTGTACAATTCCATTTATATGAAGCTAAAGAAGAGGCAAAAGTAATCTGCATAATGTAATTGAGAGAAGTAGTTGCCTAATGTTACATTAGGGATCTTCCTGGGGTGACAGATTATTCTATGTCTCGATTGAGAAGACTGGTTACACATTTGACAAAATTTATTGAAATTATACATTTAAGATCTGTGCATTTCACTGGTTGCAAAATTTATCTCAATACTAAGAAGAAAACATTTTAAAGATACTAAATTGTAATATGTTAAAAGAAATAAGACAGATACAAATAATACCTTTATGGTTCTATTCATGTAAAGAAATACAAGAAAAGATCATGGGGGAAACTTTCTGGAATGATAGAAAAAATGTTCTATATTTTGATTTTTATGGTGGCTCTATGGGTAAATATATCTGCCAATACTCCATCATAATGTCCATTTAATATATGTAGCTTTTACTTATGTTAATTTTACCACAATAAAAAGAAGAAAACCTTAACCCTAAATGTATATTGGAAAAGAGAGACTTAGAAACACTGTTTTGTGTATTGATATCAAGAAGTTAAAGAGCAGCAAATTAAATTCAAATGATATAGAAGGAAGAAAGTAAAGGAGATAAGAACAGAAATTAATGATGTAGAAAACAACTTGTGGTAGAGAGAATGAACAAAATCAATAGTTCTTTTTTTTAAGTGAAAAAAGCCATTAAAATGACAAACCCCTGCCAAAAGTAATCAAGAAATAACAAGAAAAAGAAAACGATCAGTATCAGGAAAAAAGAGGTATATTAATATTGATCCTTCAGATATAAAAAAGGATCATAACAGCGTTATCCCAATACATTTTAAATGACTCGGTGTGCTATGTCCATGTCTTGAAAAATCAAACAATTAAACTGCAGGTTCAGTACACTCTTCCCTTGTATAGCAGCAGATGTTTAAAAAAGTACATTCTGGCTAGAGTATACTGAATACAACTGGGGACTTATAATTCACTGATACTTTTGTATTGTTTTTATTTGTAAAACTGTTTTATTGAAATATAGCATGTACATAGAAAAAAGGCACATTTTATCATCATATTACAAGATGAATTTTTACAAAATGATCACACCCACCTTGCTGGAGATACAGTAATGAATAAGTTATGAATATTATTCTCCTGTCTGTGATACATTATTTAAATCTGTTTTTCCCCATAAATACTTTCTTGTTCCAATGTTCTCAAGGCTTATACTCTGGTCTTTCCTTCTGATTCTTGTGAACTCATCTGCTCTAAATAAAACACAATTTTCTAGCTATCTTCCTTTTTCTATGCAATTGAAGAAAATCAGTTGGTACCACTACATTAATGACCATTTTTCTCTACTCAATGATCTCTCCTAAGATTATTTGAAGTCTTCATATTTCTCAAAATCTTGATTCTCCTGTGTTCACCTTAATTCTCAGATGGAGGCTTGAGGTGGGAGATCTTTAAATGGGACCCTCATTAATGTAAGCCATCAATCTGTAAACCAACCTCTACTGGTCATCTGCACCAGTTTCTCTCTCTCTCTCTCTCTCTCTCTCTCTCTCTCTCTCTCTCTCTCTCTTTCTATGTGTGTCTCTCTCAGCCTCTCTCTCTCTCAGGAAATATCCATCCTTCTGCCTGTGGCTAGTTCATTATGCACCTTTGTTCTGAGTCTTACTCTCTTTCTTCTCAGGAAACATACCTATATTATCCCTTCTGTTTCTTTTATTTTCATTTTGCCACATCATGTCAGATTGCAACATAAAACCAAATCAAAGCAAATATCTCTAGACTCCACTCCTTACTTTAGCTGCAGTTCTATCTCTCTCCTTCTATTCACAGATGTCTTAAAATACAGAGGAATGCGTTTTCTGTTTCCTCTCACACTTAAATAGCTTGTATTTTATTGAAACAAATATATGCCTGCACTTCACCAATTTTTTACTTACTAAGGACATCAGTGACCTCTGTGCCTTGATGCTAGTAGATATATTTTAGTTCTCATCTTACTTAACCACTCATAGACTTTCATAAATTGAATATGATCCATTTATTTAAATTTGTTTCTCTTAACTCGAATAACTACTTTTTAGTCTTTCTTAAATTACTGTGGATCCTCCCCAGAAACTTAAACCAGCAGATAGGAGTTTTGAAGATTAGAGTTATTCAGGGTTAGTTTTAGGGTCTATTTTCTTGTCAGTCTACTTCCTTTCCCCAAGATTAAAGGTTTCAATTGGTAACTTATATGGTGTTATTTCCAAGTTTTTATCACTAGACTAAGATTTTTTTGCTCTGAACCACTAACTCATATACCCAAATATTTTCATGACATCTTCACTTAGAAATTTAACAAGAATCTCAAAATCAACATGTTCAAAACTGAACTCAAGATCTCATGTCCCAACTTTGGTCAATCTCCTGCATCTCCTTTCTTAGTGAATTCCATCAGTCGATCCTCCTTTCTCTCACCTCCAATATGCAAAATCTGAACAACTTTACCTCCTAAGTATCTTTGGTAGTCGCTGAATAAATGACTCCAGTAAAACATGGCACCAAAAGAGCCTGTAAGATGTTTGGGGCTGAAACAGGGGAATAGAATGTTGTGAACTCTGGCTTTGATATAAGTAAACATAGATGTTTTAAACTTTATTTTAAAGATCAGCTTTGGAAATGCTTACATTTTTGTCACTTTTTTGGTGTTTGGTTTTGTTTTCTTATTGGCAATGAGGTGGTTTAGCTCCTGAATCATGATCCAGTCTTCTGAATTGCTTGGCAGCTCTGGGGGTCAGTTCTGTGGCATTGTCTTTGATTGCACTTACCGAAATTTTAGATTTTCTCATCCTGTTGAAATACATGATATTTGACCCATATATAGAATTCTGGATCAGAAACTTCATGAACTCAAAGATAGATTGTGGTTTCCAGGCAACCACAGCATATACTTACTTTAAAAAGTAATGGTTCAATGACAACTTGAATCATCTGATAGTTGAGTAGCTTATAGAGTTCTAAAGCTCTATACTTCTAAAAGTTCTCTCAAAAGAACTATACTCTTTGATCTAAATGCTTACACAGTTGAATCCTGCTTAATGAGGCTTTCAGGGACATCAAAATTATGTTATATTTAAATCTTATAATGGAAACCAATTGCAACAGTTTACTAAATATGTGCACCATGACTATTTTTATTCCAACTTCAAGTAACATATTTGAGGCATTATCTTTGTACACTCGTGTGTGTGTATATACATATGGCATATGACATATATGACAAGATAATTAGAATTATGTTTAAAACTATGCATAAGGTTGTAAAACTCCTGCTTCTGTTCTGCTCTTCATAGAAAAATGTCTCAAAACCTTATTAATAGAAATAATAATAGCTAACATTTATTCAAATCCTACTAGATACAAGGTACTTTGCTAAGGGATTCCCATATATTACTTCATTTAGTTTTCACAAAACACCTGTGAAATAGGTGCTATTCATAACTGTATTTTCCAGAAGAGAAAACTGAGGCTTAGCAAAGTGAAATAATGCTGCAACATTCAAAGGCTAATACATAAGTAGAGCCATGATTTAAGTTTAGGAAAATACTCTGACTTCACAGTTTACAATCTTTACCTTTAGCCTATCTTACACGCAAAGAATTGCCCATTCAAGGTGCTGCTTCCTCATCATACTTTCTTTCTTTCTCTCCTCTCTGGTTCATATTCATATACCTCCACTAAATCTGCTGTTTTAATGTTATCAATGAACCCCGTGTTGCCAAAATGCAATGGCTTCCTCAAATTCCTCAACTTTAAGGTAATTTATAATAAAATTCAAGATCTCCATTTATAAAAAGTACTCTTGCTTGACTTCTGTGATACAGCATACTATTTCGTTGTTCTTTCTTCTTTGCCTACATTTCTTCCTCCTTTACCTAAATTCTAAATGTTGTAATGGCTTTCTTCTTTTTAATTCGACACTCTCTTTTGGTGACTTTAACTCATATTGCTTACATAACATCTGTATTCTGATAGATCCCAATCTATACCTCAGCCTTTACCTCATCTAGACTTTCTATGGAAGTCTAAATGTGTATATCCAAGTGCCTACGTGACCTTTCCACTCAGAAAAGATAGAGATCTCAAACGTGACATACGTAAGCAGAACTTTGAATTCTGCTCCCGGTCTCACCTTCACATCTGCTTCACCTGCAGCCTTCTCCATCTCAATTCGTGGTAACATTTTCTTTCAAGTTTCTCAGGCGAAAACCTAGAATCTTCCTTGACTGCTATCTTTCATTTACACCCCACATCCAAAGTGTCAAGGAATCTTACTGGATTTACATTCAGAATGTATTCAGCATCTGACAACTTATTAGCACCTCCTCTGCTATCACTCTGACCCAAGCCAACATTATCGTTGGCCTGAATTTCTGCAGTTAGTGTGTAAATTGGTTTCATGCCTCCAACCTTTCCAACACAAGATCTATTCTAAACATAGCAACTGGAGTGAATTTTGTAAAAAGTCAGTCAAATAAAGTTATTCCCTGCTCAAATTCTCCTGACATTTTTCTGTCTTACTCAGAGTATGTGACAAAGTCTTTACAATAACGCTGTAGACTTGCAACCCTCAGACTTCACTGAACTTATCATTATTCTCTCCTTCTGACTCTCTTCAGCCACATACACGTGCTTCCATGCTACTTATCGAATATGTCAAGCATGCTCGTACCTTACGTTCTTTGCACTGACTGTTCACTCTTCCTGGAAGTCTCCTCCAAATCCAAATAGTTTTCTCTCTCTTCCTTAGAGTATTCGCTCAGATCTCATCCTGTCAAAGAGGCCTACCCAGCCACCCTAATTAAAAGTGAAGCTTGCACCCCCACTCATATCTCTTCAGCCCCATGCTGCCCTATATTCCATAACACTTTTCAATTCCTAACATATCCTATAATTTATCATTTTTATTATTTATTTTCTAATGCCCTCTGCAAAAAAAGTAAGCTCCACAGGGGCAGAAAATTATGTCTGTTTTGTTCACTACCGTACTCCAAGTGCCTGGAATAGTGTCTGGCATATAGTAGTGTGATATACAGCTGACCCTTAAACAACACAAGTTTGAGCTGTGCAGGTCCACTTACATGTCAATTTTCTTGTGCCCCTACCATCGCTGAGATAGCAAGACCAACCATTCTTCTTCCTCCTCTCAGCCTACTCAAAGTGAAGACGGCTAGGATGAAGACCATTATTATGACCCACTTAATTAATAGTAAATATATTTTTTCTTCTTATGGTTTTCATAGTTACATTTTCTTTTGTCTAGCTTGCTTTATTGTAGAAACACAGTATATAATACATATAACATATAAAATATATTAATCAACTATTTATGTTATTAGTAAGGCTTCCAGTCAACAGTACTCCATGTTGTTCAAGGGCCAACTGTATTCACGTACACATATACATATACATAAATGTACATGTATATATGCAAAAATTATAATTTACACCCTTGTTTCCTTATGCTCTTCCAATCATGTACATATATATATACTAAATAAATAACTGAATGAACTCATAAAGTAGAAGGAGAAAAAAGTCAGGGCCAAGAAAAATAAAAGAAAAATACAAATGTATCAATATTATAGGCTCAAAGAACATATTTTACCAGTTCTAAAGCAGTGGCACTGAAGATCTCAGGTACTCATGTGTGCATTTATCCTTTGTCTGTTATCAAGATGTAGCTAAAGGACCATTGGAGCTTTGGTTTGAGTAACAGTCTACCACAGTGCTGAAGCAGAGTTTGGCCTAAGAGTAGGTGGATCCAGGGTGTGAATATGCTGGTAGTATTAATAAATAAGTCACCTGCTGGGAAACACACACACACACACACACACACACACACACTGCACAGGTTCCCACTCATATTCATAGTTCAAATGAAGTCTCGTAGTACACCTCTAGTGAGCAGTGAGTCATGTCTCATTTGACTTGGCAATAAACTAGCACAAGCAAGTTCAGTGTTAGAAGAGAATTTGGATAACGTTTTAACTATCCTGAGCTTCAACTTTCTCAGTATTATTATAAAAGGGCAATAGCAGTGATACCAGAACCATTAGAGGTTAGGAAGATTAAAGTAAATAACATGTAGGAAACAATATTTATGATATCTTAATATGAGGAATTCTCTTTAGGCTTAGGGTATCAGGCCAGTTAAAGGCTGAAAATACACACTTCGCTTGCACTGTCATCTTCCAAGTCACCCCGAATCTCTGGAGCCCGGTGC
Source organism: Homo sapiens (assembly GCF_000001405.40). Classification (NCBI taxonomy): domain Eukaryota; kingdom Metazoa; phylum Chordata; class Mammalia; order Primates; family Hominidae; genus Homo; species Homo sapiens. The sequence goes on along the minus strand of NC_000010.11, from coordinate 83,635,137 downwards.
TGTTCTTACAATGCTTCTTAATACAGTGGAGATAAACTCTGGAAACAATATACTATTTATTTTACAATGTTTTCAAAAGCTGATTCTGATATAGGTATGTAATTATGAACATTAAATAGCAATTTATGCTCTCTTTTCCTTATTCTCTAGTAATAGATCAAATCATTTAGTGTCCCATCAAATCAGGAAAAAAAATGAGAACATTAAGTCCAGTCAAGTAAAATGGAAGGTTTTTAAGATCATGTCTTTTGTGGGAATATGGATGGAGCTGGAGGCTATTATCCTCAGCAAGTTAACGCAGGAAGAGAAAACCAAATACCACATGTTCTCACTTATAAGCAGGAGGTAAATGATGAGAACTTGTGAACATGAAGAAGGAAATAATAGACATTGAGGTTTATTGGAGGGTGGGAGGAGAGAGAGGAGCAGAAAAAATAACTATTGGGTACTAGGCTTAATTTCTGGGGGATGAACTAATCTGTACAACAAACCCCTGTGACATGAGTTTACCTATGTAACACACCTTCACATATATCCTTGAACCTAAAATAGAAGTTAAAAAAATGGAAGACTTTTTATGTAAACTTCCACATTGTTCTGCTATGATGATAAAGCTGATGAAGGTGAACCATGAATCTCCTGGTATCAGAGAGACGAGGGTTCTATTCCTGGCTCTCTGGTTATCATCTATCTGATTTATGTAGGCTGCTTCACTTCTCAGATTTTCAGCAATTTGTTGTCCTTTCTCAAAATGAGTTTTAATAATATCTGTTTCACAAAAATTGTGGATATTAAATGAACTGTTTTATGTGAAAGTGCTCAGCACCTACTGTGAGACTATGAAGTGTTGAGTCTTTCCTTCCTCTCTTCGTCTCTATTCTTTTTTCACTGCCTAGTCCTTCATATTTTAATGTACCTATGCCGACGATTGTGTTTCTTATTCAGAACGTGCTTTGGAGTATTTGCCTTCTGGTTTGATTCTCTGTTACAGTTCTAGCCTCTGCTTTGTTGTGGGGATTGAGGAAAGCTCAGTCTTCCAGCCGCCCTGGATGTTAGGCTCCCTTTATTATCCGTCAACACTGATGAGACAGAGACCCCTCAGATACAAATTCAGCTTTTCTGCCTTCTTTCACCCCAGGCTTTAATTGGGTCTCAGTTTTATTGTCCAGTCTTTGTAAGTAAATGTCTAGCATCAAAGTGCACCTTTATCTGGCAAATGGGAAAAGATGAAGTCTTAATTTCCCACTCCGTTTTGTTTTCTAGATTCCGTGGAGACAGTTATTTCATAGCGATCTGAATCTGTCCTCTGAGTAGGTGAATTTCTGTGCTACCTTGAGCTGGACTATTGATGTATACTTAATTTTGAAAGAACACAAATATGGAAGGAGGATATGAAACTGAAAATTATGTATGAACGTTAAGGCCCACCAAGCTGGAGGTTGAGAGATTGAACAGAATCATACAGGTTCAGGGAAAAATCTTGAAGTTGGCAAAGAAAACCAGAATTTAGGGGCCAGGTATTAATATTTCATGTATGAAAAGGTATGGAAAAATAACCTTGAAAAACTGTTTTATCCTTTAGGTTACTTTCACTAGTTGCCCAGGTTGTGCTGTAAGCCTGGCTTAGAGGGCCAGATATGATTTAGATGGCAATGGGATTAGCAACCTCTTGTGAAGACAAAGATCATGTACATTCACTCATTCACCCCTTTGTTCATTCAGTGAAAGGAACATAATCTAAGCCCCAAGAGATCAAGGACTTGCCCTGCTTTGTTTTCTCCTATCTCCCCAGCTTCTACAAGAGTGCTGGGCATGTTATAAATATGTGTTTAAGAAAAGAATACTTGTCCCAGAGGATTGATATTTTGGGGTTTCATCCTAAGTACAGGGAGAACCTTCCGTTTAGGACTTTACCCTCCCTACTATGTCTATTCCAAAATCACACATCCTGACAAGGTTGTGCCCCTCTCAGCACCTGCCACATCTTAGACAAAAGTCTTGACTGGGAAGACAAGCACATCATCCTCATTGAAAAGGGCTGGATGCTCTGATTAAGCACAGTTTTGTGACATTCTGGGGATAATGAAAGGCCAGGACCTCATGACCACTGTTCAGCCAAAGGAAAAGGGCCTTGCAGACCCTTTGTGTGTCATTGACAGTGTGGTTGAATGCTACAAATCAGAATGAAGGGTTGCAAAGCACAGCTCAGAAATTTACAGGGTCTGCCTGGAAATGAGACAGACATTCAACAATTTATCATGGCACTCACTATGCTTGCTTCAAGGCAGAAGGAACCATAAATACAGAGGATGAGAGTGAATCTGAAGTTTGAGCATTTTAATTCAGAACAAATAAGCATGTGGGCCTTATAGAGGCCATTGTCTCCTGGTGATTTCTTTGATTGTCATTTGTCATCTTTCTGGCAGCTAGTGTGGAGGCACAGCGCCAAGTCTGTATAGGGGTACAGAAGCAACCTTGCTCTTAAATTTCAATTGTACAAGACCTAGGAAAAAAGATTTTTGAGGTCAACTTGCCTAGCCCCTGTTTTATTCAGGTAAAATTAAATCACCAAGGATATTTGGTTTTCTGCTACTCACATGACTCAAAATTCTCCGTATTCTTTATTCCACTGTAGTTTTGTTATGCTGTGCAGCAAGTTGAATTTGATAGTTAATCATGGTTTCTCTTGTTTCATTATAAAGATAGTTTTTGAAGGACATCAAATAAATTGCTTAACATCTTCCTGGGAATAGAGGTAGAAAGCATACACTTTTAAAGTTAGCAGTGATGCCATCTCTTATTTTTTGGCTTTTTTTTTTAAACTTCTATTCAGTAAACATAAAACATTATCATTTTCCAGGTTGTATTTAGAAGACAGAGTTCCATAATGAATCCATACAGCCTGTGGGTTCATAGTTTAGCTAGCCTAACCTTTTAGGAGAAATATACACATAATCCAATAATACCACAACATAAAAGGGTCATAAACAGGGATCTATGGAAGGTCAGAGAAGTAAACCTTCGACCACTAATCCCTGGGGGGCTAGGAAGTGGTGGAAAAGTAGCACATTTCTATACAGCCACTTTGATATAGTTGAATTAATGGGGTTGTTTTGACCTTGTGACTATTTGATTGGCCAGCCTGATGCTTCAAAATGTAAACATATTATTAAAATATTACCAAGAGTAGTTACAATAGATGTTGCTAAATCTCATATTTCCTGAGTCTATCCATGACCATATCTTCACATTCCTCCTTCAGTGGTGGATAGTGGCAAGGTTATGGGGTAGAGTTTGAGGATGGGCTGCCAGTCCCACAAAGAGTAAGGATTTTTGTGGCTCACGCCTGTAATCCCAGCACTTTGGAAGGCAGAGGTGGGCAGATCACGAGGTCAGGAGATCGAGACCTTCCTGGCTAACATGGTGAAACCCCTTCTCTACTAAAAATACAAAAAAATTAGCCGGGCAAGGTAGCAGGCGCCTGTAGTCCCAGCTACTCAGGAGGCTGAGGCAGGAGGATGGCATGAACCTGGGAGGCCAAGCTTGCACTCAGCCGAGATCGCACCACTGCACTCCAGCCTGGGTGACAGAGTGAGACTCCATCTCAGAAAAAAAAGAGTAAGGATTTTTGTGTTTCAAGCTCTCTCTCTCTCTCTCTCTCTCTGTATATATGTCTATATGTGTATGTACACAGTTTTTTGAGAAATAATTTACCTATCATGAAGTTCACCCATTTAAAGTGTTCAATTCAGTTGTATTTAATATATTTATAAAGGTGTAAAACCAACACCATAGTCTTTTACCATAATTTTAGAACATTTTTATCACTCCAAAAAAAAATCATACCCATTAATAGTCACTCCCCTATCCCTCCCACCCTACACACACACACACATACACACACACACACCCCTATCCCTCGCTAGCCAGTAATCTCCTTTCTGTCTCCATAGGTTTCCCTATTCTGGACATACTATATAATGTGTTCTTTTTCAACTGGCTTTTTTTTCACCTAGCAGAATGTTTTTGAAGTTTTTCTATGTTGTTGCATGTATCAGTATGTTATTTCTTTTTATTAGCAAATAATATTCCATTTTTTGAGTATATGACATTCGTTTATCCATTACTTGGTTAGTGGATGATTTGTTTCTAGTGTTTGTCTATTATGAATATGAATAATAATGAGTAATGCTGCTAACTAAAATTTATATGCAAGTTTTTGTAAAGATAGTTTTTATATTGGGAATATACCTAAGAGTCAAATTTGTAGATCATATGTGAACTCTATGTTTAACATTTGAGGAAATAAGGTTGCTGTATATATAATTTTAATGCTGAAAGTATACAGGTTTTTGTTTTTAGGGTTTACTGAAATGTCCATGTAATGCAGCCAAGTAAAGAAGCTATATGCTCATTGTATTGGGTCTTACAAATGAGTAAGAATCACGTTATTCAAAGGATGAATAAGACACAGTGCTTCCAACAGAAAGTTCGTGGCTCAGAAGGGGAGACAGATCTTGATGTTGCAAGGTGCGAGGAAGCATAAGAGAGAAGGCAGAGGGGGTGTGGACAGGAAGGCCAAGAAAAACATCTTGAGATGGAATATTGTCAGCAGTCAGAAACTGATGGGGAAGGGGAAGGAAGCAAGAGATCATCATATGCCAAGACATGAATTCAGTGTAAAGGTGTGGTGTATTCACAGGAAGTCAAAAAGCACAACACGAACGGGAGACTAATGTAGAAAGAGGTGGCAGCCAATGAGTCTGAATAATCTCAGACCTAGAAACATGCCTCAAGGGAACTATTTTCCACTTTTTTTCCCTTTTATCCATGAAAGGAATAAGAAATGAAAACAACTACAAAGCACTTTGAAAAAAAGAACTGCCTATGAAAAAGTTTATTATTATTAAAGCGTTAATGGAAAAAGCAATACTGTATTTTCAATTCAAACAATATTCCTTTACTTTTTATTCTTAAAAGTCATAAATGCCTATTGTAGGAAAATCGGAAAATACTGGAGTATAAAATAAAAATCAATAGTAACCTTACAATCCAGAAACAACCAATTTTAACATTTTAGAATCTATCTATATTTATTTTTATATTATAGCAGCTTATACAGTGAGAACTTTAAATGCAGTTACATTTATAGAGATTAAATTATAAAAATTGTTTTAGTTGCTGTTTACAATTAATACTAGTTTATAAGCATTTTTCTGATTTACATATTATCCAAGAACAAGATTATTAAGACAACATAGAATTTCACTACAAGAAAAACTAGTTGATGAAATCTCTTATATACGGTCATTTATGACATTTTTTATCTCAACATAATCTATAAATGTTTTGATATCAGAAATAATTTCTTGACATAGTTAATTATTCAGTAAAATGATTTCTAACTATATTAATTAAAAGAAGTATTAAAAAATAAAACTATTCTTCAAAAAGAGAAAAATATTTTCTATATTTATTTGGACCTTGCAGGAAAGAGACTTTCTAGGTATACATAAAAACAGTGAAGACAGTTGCAAAGTCAATAAATAATGACTTTGATTACATTAAAAAATGTAACAACGAAACATTCAAAGAAAAATTAAAAATAAAGAAAACCCAAGGAAAGTATTCACAAAATATTCTGAAGAAGTACTGGAATGAAGTGTTGCTATTCTTAGTGTATACAGAACTCATACGTATTGTAAGTAGTGGTAGAGAGCCACTAATATAGTAATAAAGTGGGCAAAGGGTATGAATCGCCATTTCTCAAAGAAAGTCAAAGAACTAATAAATATATATATTTATTATTATTATTGTTATTATTATACTTTAAGTTTTAGGGTACATGTGCACAATGTGCAGGTTACATATGTATACATATGACATGCTGGTGCGCTGCACCCACTAACTCGTCATCTAGCATTAGGTATATCTCCCAGTGCTATCCCTCCCCCCTCCCCCCACCCCACAACAGTCCCCAGAGTGTCATGTTCCCCTTCCTGTGCCCATGTGTTCTCATTGTTCAATTCCCATCTATAAGTGAGAATATGCGGTGTTTGGTTTTTTGTTCTTGCGATAGTTTACTGAGAATGATGATTTCCAACTTCATCCATGTCCCTACAAAGGACATGAACTCATCATTTTTATGGCTGCATAGTATTCCATGGTGTATATGTGCCACATTTTCTTAATCCAGTCTATCATTGTTGGACATTTGGGTTGGTTCCAAGTCTTTGCTATTGTGAATAGTGCCGCAATAAACATACGTGTGCATGTGTCTTTATAGCAGCATGATTTATAATCCTTTGGGTATATACCCAGCAATGGGATGGCTGGGTCAAATGGTATTTCCAGTTCTAGATCCCTGAGGAATCGCCACACTGACTTCCACAATGGTTGAACTAGTTTACAGTCCCACCAACAGTGTAAAAGTGTTCCTATTTCTCCACATCCTCTCCAGCACCTGTTGTTTCCTGACTTTTTAATGATTGCCATTCTAACTGGTGTGAGATGATATCTCATAGTGGTTTTGATTTGCATTTCTCTGATGGCCAGTGATGGTGAGCATTTTTTCATGTGTTTTTTGGCTGCATAAATGTCTTCTTTTGAGAAGTGTCTGTTCATGTCCTTCACCCACTTTTTGATGGGGTTGTTTGTTTTTTTCTTGTAAATTTGTTGGAGTTCATTGTAGATTCTGGATATTAGCCCTTTGTCAGATGAGTAGGTTGCGAAAATTTTCTCCCATTTTGTAGGTTGCCTGTTCACTCTGATGGTAGTTTCTTTTGCTGTGCAGAAGCTCTTTAGTTTAATTCGATCCCATTTGTCAATTTTGGCTTTTGTTGCCATTGCTTTTGGTGTTTTAGACATGAAGTCCTTGCCCGTGCCTGTGTCCTGAATGGTAATGCTTAGGTTTTCTTCTAGGTTTTTATGGTTTTAGGTCTAATGTTTAAGTCTTTAATCCATCTTGAATTGATTTTTGTATAAGGTGTAAGGAAGGGATCCAGTTTCAGCTTTGTACATATGGCTAGCCAGTTTTCCCAGCACCATTTATTAAATAGGGAATCTTTTCCCCATTGCTTGTTTTTCACATGTTTGTCAAAGATCAGATAGTTGTAGATATGTGGCATTATTTCTGAGGGCTCTGTTCTGTTCCATTGATCTATATCTCTGTTTTGGTACCAGTACCATGGTGTT